>NC_000010.11:53930974-54082489 GCF_000001405.40 Homo sapiens | reverse complement strand
CTTTTGAATGGTCTTGGCATTCTTGTTGAAAATCAGATGACTGTAGATGTGTGGGTATATTTATGAATTCTCAATTATATTTATTATTCTGTATTCCCCAGTACACTTTTGAGTGCCTGAATTTTCCATGAAACTATTTACCCAGACTTTCCTGGCAAGTTTTTGGCACTCTATTATACGCCTCAAGTGTTTGTGGGCTATCCCCTGCCTTACAATATTTCTGAGGAATGCCCACTGCTTTTCTGCTTTGAGTGATTTCCAAGTTTGATGAAACAAAGATAAGTGCCATGAATCACTCCTTCAGGCAGTCTCCAGACAGACTAGAATAGACCCCCACAGTTCTTTATGAATAAGGATAGCTCGCTCCCTCCAGAAACAAAGACCATAGTGTCACACTGGGAATGTTCACTGATGTTTTCAAGGCCACTCTGAGCCAGTGAGATGGTAGGATAAAGACAAGTCAAAATGCCACAGAGTTCTTCTACCAGATTTGATTTACCTTTTTTTAAAACAAATTCTGCCTTCATCTGGTTGCTATAAACCTGTGACTGTTTTCCAGAGTTTCATCAAATTTGCTGTTGAAGGTCCCTGCTTAATTGTGATTTTTTGACGTTTTGTGGCGAGACCATCTCTTGGGGCTGTCTTCTCCATTTCCACTGACATCACTCCTGGGAAATGTATTTTCAATCCTGTATAAGTAGCAGTGTTATTGATGCTTTATCAATTGAAGAAGCTTATGTATTTTTAATATGTGAACTTATAAGGTGTATTGCATTACTAAGTGTACCCCAATGTATCCTGGCCTGATAGCCTCCATCTAGCTGGTAATAAGACTTTTTGTGAGCTATTTCTCGGATTTAATAAAAGGATGCACAGGTAAACCCATAAACTAGTCTTTCAGCTATGAATCCCAAAATACACTGCCTGTGTTTCTCCCCTTCTGCATTGCCCAAATATACCACACAACTGCCTACAACACTGAGTCGCAAGGCCCGCGTATTACATAAAAACTACCTCTATAATAATCACCAGACCATAGACAATTAGCTGTTTGTGTTTAAAATGGCCCTAAGTATGAATATACTGTATACTATATTGTTCACGGCATATAGTATTTTTGGAATAATACATATAGTATTATATATCCTAAATAGTATATATAGAGTATACATATATATTCCAAATACTATATACAGTTGGGAGGCGATATAGATTATTTATAAGAAACCATTCCTTGTCTCAAAGAATTCTGAACATGCTGAGGAATAATGGATCTTTTCTCTTGAAATAATCAAAAACAAGATAGATATTTTTCTTCCTGGAATGAATTAAGCGAAGTTTTGTTATGTTTTGTTTCCTGGAAGGTAGGAAATCAACTCAGTTATCACGTGAGTTTTGTAATTCATCGTAAATATACAATATACTTTTTAGTAATTTTCTAATTTAATGTACAAGGAGGAATATAGATAATTAACTGAGGGAAGAAACAAAATGAAAATGGTAACTCAATTTTCTTTCTTTCTCTTATTATACCATGGCTAGGTTTTCAGCTTTCCTGTTTCTTAAGATACTTGTGAATAAGCCTCAGAAGAAATACATGTCTTACTTTTCTCATTTAATGTAATTTTAAAATGGGATTATCTGGACCTTCTGTACTGTAGGAAGCTGGTCCAAACTTAATTGTTGTGAACATGCTCTGGGAACTGGTTTTCAATTATTTTGACAAAACATTTTTAAAATGTACAGGAAGCAAAGTCAGTTTTTCATGGGCATGCCATATGTTCAGAACTTTTTAAAAAGTCCACGTCAACCATTACAACATAATAAGCAAATTGAGTAACTGTGATTCTTATTTTGATTCATCGGCTTTGACTCTCTGTACTCAACTACCATATGTGATATGAATTGTTTAAATTTTCTTTACAATAAAAGCACTTACCTTAAAATGAAAGCATTTTATCCATTAGAAACAATTTATGTTTTGGACTTGGTACATATATTTTAATGTGTTATTATATTCAGATAAACTCTTCTACACAGTGGATACTTGTTAGGCTCGATTAAAATGTGTACAATATCAGATGTAAAATTTAAGAAATAAATGTAGAACCTACATTAGAGAGCAAGCCAAACTGTTATAAAATAAATTACATGGGTGAATAAAGTCTTAAATATTTGGAAACATTTATTCTGAGCAGTGAAAAGATAAGGAGTAGGTATTAAAAATATTGTAAGTGCAATAATTTTCCCAAGTGCTGTTAATCTCCCATTATACATCAGTTAAATTAAGAAACAGCTAAATTTCCAAAGAATAACAAAATACTAAAATTGTTAGTGTAGCCACAAAAGGGGTTTTAAACAAATTATAAAATGAGAACATGAATTCTAATACAATTATATTTTCTTAAAAAATGTAAAATATGCAGAATGATTCCTCTTCTGAAACAATCATATATTTAAATGTGGTTATAATAAAGTACAAAAAGAAACATTACAAAAAACATAATTTCTGTAATTTGAAAAAATTCTATTTTCTAATTTTGTACAATGGGTCTCTGTTATTTTAAAAGTAAGAAAAAAGAAAAACTTTTATCCATAGAGTTTGTCAGAGATAACATTTAGATGGGTTTTTGCATTTTCATAATGGACATACATATGACATAAATTGGGAGGTGATATACATTAGTTATAGGAAACCATTCCTTGTTTCAAAGAATTCTGAGACTGCTAAGGAATAATGAAGTCTTTTCTCTTGAAATAATCGAAAACAAGATAGATACTGTTCTTCTTGGAATGAATTAAGCACAGTTTTGTTATGTTTTGTTTCCTGGAAGGTAGGAAATCAGCTCAGTGTCAGTTTCATGGATACTGCTAAGAAATTTGACAGCCTTAAAAGCTGTTTTCAATTTTCAGAATGAATCTTAGTATTATACATCTAAAATACTCAAGCTGTGATTACTGAGAGGGGAAAAAAAGCTATCAAAAGTAATTCACTATACTAAGAAGACTCTCCTTGTGACATAATATCTCTTTTTGTCTTATTTGTTTGTTTGTTTTGTCACTAGCACGGGGATTCTAACCTTAGGGAAAGCACTGGACAGGGAAAGCACTGATCGCTACATTCTGATCATCACAGCTTCAGATGGCAGGCCAGATGGGGTGAGTATGCTCCCTGTGAAGGGGTTTTAAAAATAGTATTAAGGCAACTGAGAGAGTCTTAAACAATGTATCACAGACATGAATTAATGTTTTTCATCTGGAGCAACTTCTTATAATTACTAGAAGTGTTGCTCTTTTCTTCAACAGGCTATTAATACATGCACCTATACTCTGAATTTGCTATTGTGCTGCAACCTTTGACTTGACAGAACAGATACTTGAGATCAGCATTCTCACCTAACTTGTAGGGAAAATGAAATCTACTTTATTCTAACAGGTATTCCATTGTGTCTGTCATTTGCACTGCACCATGAAATGTGTTCTGGCAGTTTATTATGTTGGAACCTGTTACACTTAGCGTCATTTTTTTAAGGGTCAGGGAGGAAGAGTGGATTTTGTGGATAAATATCTTTAAGCACTTAGGAAAGTGATTTGCTTGTTTCCACAGGCATTTGTAAGTAGCAGTAAGAATCATAAGTAATTCTTGGTTATCTAAATAATTTAAATGGGCTTATAATTCCAAAGAAGATAAATTCTATTTCCTTTGGACCTAAAACTCACTTTAAAAAAAAAAAATTGTTAGACATTCTGAACTGCTTTAAAATCACTTGTCTGTGTTATTTGAACGATCTCATTCACAACTGCCAGCATCCCGCTTTCTATGTATTGTAATATTACCATTGTTAATAATTATTTTCACCATTTCTATGCCATGTGTTAGGTGATTCTCTTTTTTTTTTCAATCAGGTGCTTATGTGTCAACTCAGTGCTATTGTCTAGAAATAATTTCAAACCCATTACAGATTGATAAGCAAGGCTCACTCAATTTAAATATCAACATATCTCCTGGCTCCTTGAAATGATCTATTTAATCTATATACTACATTGGCTGAAAGTATACAATAATAATGTATTTATTATTGTAATAATAAATGTAAAATAAATGTATCTTCACATTTATTTTAGGAGGATTTCTGAGATTTTATTATAATAAAAATATAAAATTGATACCTGAATAGTTTTCTCATCTTAACTAAAAGTGAGATAAATAGAAATAATTAAATTTGGTAATTGCAGTCTGTCCATAGTAAGCTATTTAACATTTTTCAGACATTACATAAATAAACATACTTATACATATAATAAAATATACAGAACAGTTGTAGTAAACAGTGAGGATAATAGGTACTTAGATGATAGAAAAGTAAATAAAACCTATGGCTAATTTTTATATAAGCAATCCACCTAATTATTATTATTATTTTTTGAGATGGAGTTTCGCTCTTGTTGCCCAGGCTGGAGAGCAATGGAAACATCTCGGCTCACTGCAAACTCAGCCTCCCGGGTTCAAGTGATTCTCCTGCCTCAGCCTCCCAAGTAGCTGGAATTACAGGCATATGATACCACGCCTGGCTAATTTTTGTATTTTTAGTAGAGACAGGGTTTCACCGTGTTGGCCAGGCTGGACTCGAACTCCTGACCTCAGATGATCCACCCTCCTTGGCCTCCCAAAGTGCTGGGGTTACAGGCGTGAGCCACTGCGCCCAGCCTGCCCTAAATTATTACAGTATGTCTGTGTTAGATGTATGTAAAGAAGTCAGTGAGAGTTTCTGGAGGAAGTAATTGAAGAACTTGACTTATGATGAAAGTTTAGAGGGTAACTCGGCTAGGCAATAAGTGAGAGAAAATATTCTAAGGAGGAGAAGGAGAAATTATTTAGCATAGATTAAGAGGTATAATTACAGTGAAGTGAAATTAAGAAAGCATTCAGGTCAACCAATAAAATAGGAAAAAAAGAAAGGATAATACATAGCTTTGAAATATGCCACATTATAAATCAGAAACTAATGGCAGTAATATTAGCTAGAACATTTTAAGTCTGTCCTTAAAGTTTCTTAGACAAGGAAACAGATGGAAGGAAAATAGTCACAATCTACTAATAATACTTTTGACTACTTAAAACCAAAATAAGTTCTGGGCTAAAATCAGTAGTTTTGTTCTTTCTAGTTCATTGTTCAGTAATTTATTTGTATATTTTAATTCTCCTTGGACAGGACACTTAGCATTTCTAGGTCCTCGTTTCCTCATATAATCACTCAGGTTTCATTTTGCTTTAAAATTCTGATTTTCTGAGTAAATTTTGTGTTCATTTGTAAAGTTTGTAATGAGAATATCAGTAGAGTAGAAAGCATTTAGATTTCAAACAAAAGTTTATTCAGTTAATTCCATCATTTATATAATTTTACGGATATACTTATATGTAGGCATACACAGTGGGTTCCTGAAGAAAAAAAGTGATTATATAACAATAATATTCTCACGTCTTAATAGCACTTTTCTTATCTAAATATTTAGTAATTACAGTAAAATTAACCTTTTAAACTTAAGAATCATGTGGTTTAAAACAGATATTTAATAAACACAGACAGATGGATGGAATTTATTGAAATGAAAATGTTAACAAGCAATTTGTGTGAAACAAATTGCCAGGATGAGTTTGAAAATTTGATCATGAGAATACACGTTTTCTACCATCTCAAAATGGGGATGATGGAGATAAGAGGTCACATTCTATTGGTCATTGTGAGTTTATTTGTAGACAGTATGGAGGAAGTTTGATTTGACTGTCCTTTTCTAAATTTTCTTTGTTAATGATTGTTGAAAAATCTGTATAAGTTGCATGTGTCATGTAATTTATTTTTTTTTTAGCTATCGGGGGTACAGATAAAACTATACTTTTTCGATTCTAATTTTTTTTTGAAGATTCAGAACAAGGGTGTCTACTTTTACCATTTGTGTTCAACATAGTATCAGAGGTCCTCACCAGAGCTATTAGGCAAAAAAAGAAAGAAAAGAGAGAGAGAGAAAGAGAGAAAGATCCAATTTGAAAAGGAAGAAGTAAAGTTATCTCTGTTTAGAGGTGATATGAGTTTGCATATAGAAAACTTTAATGATTCCATACACATGTTTCATGTTTGCACACACATACACAAATGTTGGAACTAAGAAATTTTGCAAAGTATCAGAGTACAAAATCAGCACACAAAATCATTTGCATTTTCATAGATTGAAAATGAATGAGTTAATTAAGAAAACAATTCAATTTGCAATAGTATCCAAAAGAATAAAATACTCAGGAATTAACTTAACCAGGGAGATAAAAGACTTGTATAATGAAAACTACAAAACATTTTGGAAAGAAATTAAATAAAACATAACTAAATTGAAAAATATCCCATGTTCATGGATGGGAAGACTTAATATTGTTAAAATGTTAATACTCTCCCAAGCAATCTACAGATTTACTGCAATTTCTATTAAAATCCCAATGATGTTATTTGTAGAAATAATTTTTTTAAAAAAACAAACTTATTCTAAAACTTATCTTTAAAATTTCAAGGGACCCCAGATAGCCAAAAAGAAAAATAAATAACAAAGCTGGAGAACTTATACTTCTTGATTTCAAACTAACTACAAAGCTACAATACTCAAAACAGAGTAGTACTAGCATAAAAACAGAAATACAGGCCAATGTAATTTAATAGAAAATCCAAAAATAAACTTTCACTTAATTGGTCAGATAATTTTTAAGATGGGTGCTATGATCATTCTACATGCAAACGAATGAAGTTGGACCTTATCTAACATCATATGCAAAAACAAACTCAAAAGTGATTCATGACCTAAAATGAAAACTGAGTCTATAGAACTCTTAGAAGAAAACATAGGGCAAAAGCATCATTTCATTGCATTTGTCAGGGATTTATTGGCTATGACCCCAAAGACACAGACAACAACAACAAAAAATAGACAAGTTGGAATTTGTGATTTTGTAAAGGGGTGTCAAAGACACAGAATAAAAAAGCAACATAAAAATGGGAGAAAATATTTGCAAATCATATATATGATAAGTCATTAATATTCAAAATATATAGATCTTTTTTTTTATTTTTTGAGATGGATTTTTGCTCTGTCACCCAGGCTGGAGTGCAGTGGCGCGATCTCGGCTCACTGCAAACTCCGCCTCCCGGGTTCAGGCCATTCTCCTGCCTCAGCCTCCCGAGTAACTGGGACTACAGGCACCTGCCACCATGCCTGGCTATTTTTTTGGAGTTTTAGGAGAGATGGGGTTTCACTGTGTTAGCCAGGATGGTCTCAATCTCCTGACCTCGTGATCTGCCTGCCTCAGCCTCCCAAAGTGCTGGGATTACAGGTGTGAGCCACCACGCCCAGCCCGAGAATTTTTTAAAGAAAACAAAAATAAACAAACTGATTCAAAATTGGCAAAGTACTTGAATAGACACTTTTCCAAAGGAGATATATAAATGACCAGTAAACATATGAAAAAACACTTAGCATTGCTAAATATTATGGAAATGCAAATCAAGGCCACAATGAGGTGCCACCTCACACCCAGTAGAGACGCTATTATAAAAAACAAACAGAAAACAAAACAAAACAACAACAACAACATAACATGTTGATGAGGATGTGGAAAAATTGGAACCCTTGTGCACTATTGGTGAGAATGTAAAATGGTACAACCACTGTGGAAAACAGTGGTAGTTTCTCAAAAAATTAAAAATAGAATTACTATATGAGCCCCCAATCACACTTTCATTTATATATCAAAAAAATTGAAAGCAGAGTCTCCAAGAGATATTTGTATTCCCATGTTCATAGCAGCATTATTCACAATAGCTAAGATGTAAAAGCAACCCAGTTTTCCATGTTTATGTAGAGTAATATATAAACAAAATGTGGTATATACATATAATGAAATATCATTCGGCCTTAAGATGGAAGAAAGTATGACATACACTATATCACAGATAAATCTTGAGAACATTATGCTAAGTGAGATTAGCCAGTCACAAAATGTTAAATTCCATATGATTCCACTTATATTTTGGTACTTAGAATGGTCAAAAATCACAAAGACTCAAAGTAGAATGATGGTTGCCAGAGGATAAAGAAAAGAGAAATGGGGAGTTATTGTTTAATGTTATAGAGCTTTTGTTTTGCTAGATTAAAAGAGTTTTAGAGATGGATAGTGATGATGGTTGCACAAGAATATGAATATACTTAATACCACAACATTTTACATTTAAAAATTGAGATAGTACAAACAAATACAGAAAAAAAATCTAGAGGTGGACAGTGAAGAGATGGTGCAGGTGCACATCAGTGCCATTGAGGATGCCTGCTGGCTATTTTCTGCTTTGCCATTTTTATTGTCTACTTTCATTCCCATCTTCTGCAACTCTAGACGTCAATTCTCTATACCAGACAAAGTATAAAGATGAATGCCAGAAGAGTCTGCACCCCTGCTTTATTTTAACAAAGCACCAAAGTTTTTTCAGAAACCCCATCTAGCAGATTTCCTTTTAGATATTCTTATCTGTAAGTAGCAACAGTGGGTAGAAAAATAGCTAGGAAGTAGGGCTTATGGATTGCAGCTGTGTTAATCAACCAATAACACAGTGAAAGATATAAATAAATATGCGAACAGTGATCAGTAATTTTTTTCATTTAAAATGTGAAGTTATTCTGTAGCCTAGATATTTCTGACCAGATTCCGTGTGTTCAGCAATATTATTTTCCTCCTTAATTGATACAATAGGTAACTTGATTCCATCATGGTTTGATTTCTGTAAAATGCTCTTGAATTACTGGATTGAATTACTCAGTTATGGCTTTCAGTCTGAACACTTGTAATATTTCACAATTTCAGATTGCTAGAAGACTTAGCATCTTTGTTTTTGTCTTGAAGCAATATTATTTCCTAAATTTCTTTGAAACATGGCAATATAAATGAACAATTAACATTTAAAAGTTGAGCATTTAACTTCATAATCAAATAGGAAACTTTAACAAAAGCAAAAATACATGCGTGAGAAAATGTGTGAAGTTAAAGTAACTTTGAATTTCAAAATAGTTGATTTAATATTTTAGAACACAATACGTATGGTTATAGAATAGTAAAACTTTAAACATTTAAGTCATATATGTGAATCTTTACAATATATGTAACATGCAAAATGTTTATGTACAAATATATAAATATTTATATCTATAGTTCTATATTATATATACTATAGTATACAGGTATACTATAAATACTTTCTGATATTTTTGAAAATATATATTTATATAAAAACATGCACGATTGCATAAAATGTGTATACATACATACACACATACATATATAATCTTTACACACTACACTCAGATGTGCACAGAGAAAAAAAAGCTTCTTTATTTTTTATACCTGATGCAATCTTCCTACTTAGACAATAATGTATAAATATGTGTTTGGACAGGTAGGGAATAGATGTAATCTGGGTCACACTTAAGTTTCTTAGAACAGTATTTCAGCATTATCTGTTTAAGACAATATAAATACTCACTAGTTAAGCTGCCAACCAAACCTCTCCTCCCTGACTTCATTCTAAAATTGTGGTCTAGATGTAACATGTATTTACCAGTCCTTTATGCTGGTAGTATGGCTTCTCTCTCTTGACACCTCTCTCTGCCATTGCTGTATATTCAGTGCCATAACCTATTAGATGGGACCTCCCATGGAACCTGTGGAAATTTTCTGGAGGCTTACATACTCCTGAAAACTACTGTGATTATTTCACCCAAATTTCTCTTAGTTTCCCAGTCATCATTTCCCCCTTCTTCCAAAATGTTTCTCCAGTGCCTCTTCACTTAAGGAGGGGTCCAAAGTGGCAGTAGGGGATGAGGAGGAGGACCTCTGCCTCCTGCCTTCATGTCTCTTCTGTGTCTCCCTTTCTCCTTCCCGTAATTCATAATAGAAGGAACTTCCCTTTTCTCTTTCTCAAAGAAATTCTAGATTTTATGTATATTTTTTTCCTTCAGAAGGAAAGAAAGCCTCCTGGCTAATCTTTAATGGTAGGAAGGACCTCCACTCTACATCATGAATGAAACTCTACAATCTGAATGAAGTTGGCTTGGCTCTGAACTGTGTAGCAACAAGATGACTTGCGCTTAAGGATGAAAATGTTTTAAATTAATATTCTCTAAATACTATACTTATTATTGAATATGTATTTTTCTTGTTTTATTGGCCTAAACAAAAAATGATTGAATTCTAAACTATAAATCCTCATTGTCCCATTGTTATTGAAAAGAATTTTAGATATAGTAGTGAAGATTTTTATTCAGATAGGAAAACTTTGTGTTCTATAAATAACATTTCTTGTGTTTTCTCACAGATGGAAATTTTCAATATTCTTTCTAGCTCTTCTTTTTTCAGACATTTAAATAAAATAAGTTATAAGGTAATTTATTTCAGCATGTAGTACAAATTATAATAAAAATAGATATTTAAAGTATCTAAAAATATTCATTGAGCTGACATTGTGTGTTCTATTAGTAAACACGTTAGACACATTTCTTAATAAAATAATGTCTTTATTATTTCTGAGAATATATAGTGAATCTTGTTGACTATAGAAAAGAAATTGCACCTTTGAAATTAAACACTCATGTTTTTATTTAAGAAATAGATAAATGATAAGTGCTCCATAATTATAGTGTTACCTTACCTCTGATAATGTTTTCTGCTTTCTTAATGAACAAATTGAAATATTCCTGACTGATTCCTATACATACCATGAGTCTCTGCTCAGATAAATTCTAAGCATACATGTTTCTTAAACCATGTATTGAATGTCATTGAATTTCAATCATCTAATATAAATGTAATAGCACAAAACAAATGGCTGTGCTATGAGATGCACACAAAATATAAAGAAATAGTTTTCTAGCCATGAAATGTTTAACAAATTTTGTGTCAAAAGATGTAAAAATTAAATGATAAAAAAATGCATTTTTTTGTGATTAAATAAAAAACAAACATCCCTTCTCTTATCCTCTCTAGGATTAAAGCCAAAATTGCTTATTAAATTCGTAGTATTACACACTGCCCTTAAAAGTGTTCATTAAGTTGATTAACAAGAAAATGTATTAAAAATTATTCATTAAATTATTGAGCAAAACACATTTCTGGTTTTCTTACATAGCTAAACATATGCTAATCAGAAAACCCAGTTATCTGACTTCCAGCTATTTACTCAGGAAATGAAAATTGTATTATTTATCCATTGCTCAAAACTGTATAATACAAGGCGCATTTACAAGGTCAAATTAACAGGACTTGGTGACTAATAAATTGCATGTATGAGATAAAGTGACTTAGAAAATTAGTTAATTATTTTGCCATGTCATTTCCTGAGATAGGAAATACTAGAAGAGAATAAATAAGATACTCTTAATGTATGTTCTCACGAATTTCAAATAATGCATTGTGTATTGATAGATGAATTTACACTACTTTCTTTGACTATGGCTTTATAACTCACTTTTTTTATACTATTAAAAAACAACAACAACAACAAAAAACAAAAGATGAGCTGGATATCGCGGCTCAGACCTATAACCCCAGCACTTTGAGAGGCCAAGGTGGGATTGAGATGAGAAGTTTGAGACCACCTAGGCAACATACTGAGACTCTGTCTCTACAAAAATAAAATAAAGAAATAAAAATTAGCTGGGCATAGTGGCGTGCACCTGTAGTCCCACCTACTTAGGAGACTGAGGTGAGAGAATCACTTGAGCCTAGGAGTTCAAAGCTGCTGTGAGCTATGATCACATACTGCACTCCAGCCTGGGCAACAGAATGAGACATGTCTCAAAAAAAACAACAACAATGAAAATAAAAAAAGATGCTATATTAATATCCTTCTTTCAGAGCCATACTAGTTTATAAAAATAAATGTGTATTCAAATTACAACAGTAAGCTGGGTGCGATGGCTCACGCCTGTAATCCCAGCACTTTGATAGGCCAAGGCGGACAGATTGTTTGAGGTCAGGAGTTCAAGATCAGCCTGGCCATCATAGTGAAACCCCATCTGTACTAAAAATACAAAAATTAGCCAGGCATGGTGGCACATGTCTGTAATCCCAGCTACTCAGGAGGCTGAGGCAGGAGAATTGTTTAAACCTGGGAGGCGGAGGTTGCAGTGAGCAGAGATCATGCCACTGCACTCCAGCCTGAATGACAGAGTGATACCTTGTCTCAAAACAAACAAACAAACAAAAACAGAAATATCTTGCATTGTTGAGAATGAGACATATATTTTGAAAATTCTTCTATGATATTACAAAAGGAAATTCTAAGACACATTTAAATTAAATAATGAACATGAAAGTGTTCAATTACAGTATTTAGTACTAACATGCAAGTATTTCCAGCTAGTGGAATTATAAGTTAATACAACTTTTGAGGAAATAATCAGTGAGCAAACTCCGTTGATGGAAAATACGTAACTTTTTATTTATTAGGTTTATTAGTTTGAGATCTTTTTAATTTAACTGGCATTATATATATATTCATATTTAAAATTAATTGTGAACATGTGTTAATGACATATGGTCCTAACAATTAATTAAAGTGATCTGTTTTCATTTGCTAATTTTTAAGCTTGAACAATGAAAAGAAGTCTTTCCTTAATAAGACATAAACATTCTCTATGGCACAGATCCACATTGAAGCATATTGTTGCCATCCTTCTGAACCAATCAAGAAAAATTAAATAAATATGATTTACACCTAACTAATTTATAAATATTTCCATAGGTTCAGAACAATAGTCAATAGACCTAATGGATAGCCCTGAAATCCTCATTTTTACATAAGTATTTCTGAAGCAAGTGGTATTAAAAAACTTCAAGAAATATATAAACTGGAAATTATTCTATGTATAGATGTGACTGTACATTTCTGTAAGACATGGATTTTTTTCATGTCATATAAAATTCAGTAAGAAATGAAGAAAATGCCTGCATGTCCCATAAATATCATCCCCTATTAGCACAAAATTATGGAATTGTTATTTGACTTCTTAGTTTACTTAGTGATCTGGTTGTATTCTTCATTATCCACTTAAGAGTTACAGTCTTAAACTGAGGATACAGAATACTCTGAAAACATGAATATAAATTTTAAAGAATAGGATGAGAAAAACAGTGGATTGACAGGTAAAGACAGGCTGGTGTAAAGGGGGTCAGGCAATTTGAAGAAAAGCCAGCAAACTCCAGGGTCACCATTCTTAGATTTTGGATCCAGGCTGTAAATTTCAATGTCTTGTTAACCCTCAGGCAAATTGGGAACTACCGCAACTGTAAAAAACACATCTTCTTTACTGCTTTCAATTCTAAGGCAAATTTTAAAGAAATAATATTTGTTAAAATACTTTTTGTCATGAAAGCATGGTAGCCTTTTGGGAGAACATTTAGAAAATATATAAAAGTAACGAGGAAAATGAAATGATCTGGATTCCATCTAGTCAAGTAGCACTTGAATTTCTTTAAACATACTTACATATATCGACACACATGTGTATGTTTGTGTGTGTGCATCTTTTAAAGTAAATAATCTTAAGAAAATATAACACACAGACTAATGCACAAACAATAATTCTACAGCTTAATGAATTTTTACATAGAGAACACACCTATGTAACCACTACTCATAACAAAAAACAGAAATTAATCAGCACTCCAGAAGCTCAGCTTTGTGATCATTTCTGTCGCTATTCGATCTTCTTCTTCAAAGTGACCCGTATTCTAATTTTTATCACCATGTAGGGATTATGCCTGTTTTTGAAGTTTATATAAATGGAATCATATAGTATGTGTTATTTATGTTCTAGAAACTTAGGTTCATGAAATTAATCCATGTTATTACTTATAGCAGTAGTTCGTACATTCTCAGTACTTCATATGATTCCATTGCATATATAAAACACAATCCTGTATAACCATCTACTATCGATGGACATTTGGGTTGTTTCCAGATTTTGACTATATAATGATGTTCTGACCATCTTTGTACGTGTCTTTAAATAAAAATTTTATTTAACTTTAAATACAAAAATGTGTGCAAATCACATATGAATAGCAACATAAATTTTCAAAGGGTAAGCCAACATACAAATAAAGAAATAAGCCATCACTAATACCCAGGAATTCCCTGCTATGCATGGTAATTATTAAGTGACTACTGAACACTGTGCATGAAAAAATTTATAGAGGCTTGGGATAAAGTTACATTACTAAAAAAAGTATTTGCTTTTGCTTCTGTTAAAATAAGGGCAGATCACCTAAATCCAATCAGAGTTTCAATACTGGGTTTACATTTGAGGGAGGTTTGGTCTTTTTCCCAAGCACCATGACTTGCATGGTATAGAACTTCTGTGACCCCAACAGAAAGCATTGGGTATTTACCAAGATCTGTCCTCTTTAATAGCTAAAAAAATAAAAAAAAATAAAAAATAAAAAAAATCACTTGACTCCTTAGCCCCATGACTGCTGCAAAACCTTTTCAGCTTCACTCAAGTCACTTCTTAGTGCTCAGGATTTTAGCCTCTCACTACAAATCACTTACTAATTAATGGAACTTGCATTTTTTTAAACAAAAGGTGGATAATTCTCTCATGACAGTATCACCTTGCTTTTTCCTCCTCCTTTTTATTTATAGTTACTAAATATTTAATACCATAGCATACCAGGTTTCTTACTTTCCAGGTTAATATTCTTTCTCTCTGTACCTTTGCTCTCAGCCTTTTGTGATCAGCCCCACACTGTGACAGAGCTAGGTAGAGGTTCTGTGCTGTACTCAGGCTTTGATTAGAGAGAGCAGTTTCCAGCTTGAATCACTTATGAAGATAGTCATTGATTGTGCAGAAGTCATTGACCTACATAATATTGACTGCAGCAGGCCAGGGATTTAACTTTTAACTAGGTAGCACACACTACTGGTAGGTTTACCTGCATACCATTTCCGTAAGCTGTATGCTTATAAGATAATCATTTCATGCCTAGTATATGGTACTCAAACTCTTGGTTTAAATGTACACCTAGAAAATTATTAAGGTAGCATTTTTCGATAGCATGAGCTTTCCAGAAAATGCTCATTTGATGTACCATGCTATTTTATAATGTACTGGTTTTATTTTTAAACAGTCAAACATACAAGCAGCAAAAACTACAGAAATGGCACATTTCAGAGATAAAGCAGTGTACGTGTGTATAAACAAAAGCTTGCCACCCATAAAATGTGAACAAGATAAAGGTAAAACCGTTTTCCTCCAGGAAATACTTGACATTTCCAAAAAGATGTTTGCCCTTTAATATCATCATTTGCTTTTCCCATCTGTTTTTTGAGGTGGGAAGCTTCTTTGCAAGCTTCTTTTTTTTAATTTTTTTATTTTTTTATTTTTATTTTTTGGAAAGCTAAGGATTAGAAAGAAAAATGAGATGCTTTTCAGATAGACAAATGCCAGAATGACTACTTAAATGAATTCTAAGTAAAAATAGCTCCTCTCACATTTAATGCTTGTGTTTTTCTTTAAGACCTCAACTGCCACAGTAAACATAGTGGTGACAGATGTCAATGACAATGCTCCAGTGTTTGATCCTTATCTGCCAAGAAATTTATCTGTGGTGGAAGAAGAAGCCAATGCCTTTGTGGGTCAAGTAAAAGTAAGTGGAATATTTATATAGATCTTATATGTAGTTTTTCAAAGAGTGTAAGTTTATTACATTTTAATTCTCAAAAGAAACTCAGCTAATGTAATCTGTTAAATGACTGTGCTGGATATTCTTCAAGACTTTAAAAAATGAATCATATCCTATATATTTTAATTAACTTTCAAGGATACAGATTTACATTTTATAATTATTGTATAATTTAAACATTGATTAATGTGATAGTATGCTAATTTAATATATATTTTTAGTTTCTGAAATTAAAACATTTTACAGAAACATGTAATTAGGTATACTACTAGGTATGGATGTGGACATTTAGACCTCAAAATATATATATTTAGATTTGAATTCATTACATTAGGTAAATACTATCTTTAGAGTCTACCGTGTGTTTCTAATATTTTGCACACACACCTTTTCCAGCACTCAGAAGATTTACTCGTAGTAAACTTACTCTTAGTGTTCTTCTAAGTGCTTCTGGATCTACCTGGACATATTAGCCGGTGTCTGTGGTTCATTTGATGAATAATTCCTTTATTGTTAAAACAGAGACAGTACTTCCTCATTTGGGCCATTCTTGGTCTTGAACATAATAATTGGTCTAGAAGTCACAAAGAAGAAAAAAATTGGAGGAAGATGTGCACAATTTGAAGTATCAACCTCAGATGAGGTGTTTATGTGGTCTTCAGGGGAGGAAAGAATCTTGGTTTAGTGAGGTGTGAGCCACCCAGATGTTCCAAACCCAGAGTTCAGGGTCCTACTCCTTCCCTGTGAAGGTTCTGACTTTTCCACAGAAGGCGTGCTGGTGCTTTCAAGTGAGGCTTCTCTACTGTTCTGCTATTCTTATAACCAGGCACAAGATCTGATTTTTAGCTCAATCTCCTTTAAACTGCAAAAGGAGAGGGTTGCTTTAAATGGTGTTATAGAGATCTTGTGATGTTCACACCATGTCCTGAGATTTTGATTGACCAGTTGAAGCTTTTTTAAAAGTCATTTTTTCCTTTAGATCACTGACAATACTTGCAACTACCAACTCCACAGTCATTATCATTATCATTGTCACTATCTCAAATTCTGGAAATACTGCATAAGGCATACATAACCTTATATGTTTATGCCATCCCAATTCACATAGGGGATAATCTTGGTCATTGTGATGTTATAAAATGCCAACTGGTCTTGATACCAACTGGCCAACAAGCGATTCAACTCCAGCATCCCATCTGAAGGCTCTGCTCCCCACACTGTAGTACCTCTGGTGTCCAATGGCTTACTGTGGATTCTCCAACAGAAAATCTGGACACAAAATATTCATGTATAAATATTTTTTGAGAAGTGTAGATAACAGTGATAAGGAAGTGAGAAAGTGAGGCAAAGAAGAGAAGGTAGCCAGTAACAAGATTGCTATTAAACCAGCAATCATAAGGAGAACTGAAACTTCACTCCAAGGGCAAACTCTAGAAAAAGATGCAAACTCATGCATCAGAGTTATCTGTCCTGATAGTTTTAATTGTCCAGTTCCTGAGAGGTTATGGAACTGGAAAACATATACACTAAATCCTGAGAGTAATTAGCTGCAATGTTGGCCAATGGGCTGCCAAGTTTTTGGATTTTCTTGCCTCCAGTAGAAGCAAGTAGTCAAATTCCCTCAGCATAATCTGATAGAAGGGCACTGAGTCAGGCTGTAGATACTGATGGCAGCAGTGGCCCATCTGGAGCAGCCACTGCAAAGACACCAGCTACAGCAGAGGAGGTATGACCTGGGCTAAATGCTCCAGGGAGCCGGTGGGAGCAAGGAGCAGGCAGGAACCTAACCCCCTTCCAAGTTGGCAGGGTGGGAGCCCTGCCATCCTGGGTGTAGCTCCAGCTGCCCAGCTGTGGCTGCAGACCTAGGCATCTCTGTGCTCTCAGGGATCCAGGAAGCTCCCCTGCCCCCACAGAGTCGGAAGTGCCTGTTCCCCCTGCCTGACCTCTTCCAGCTCCTGGCACCCCTTCCAATTTTGAAGCAAAGTTCAGGCCGAGCCCAGGTGCTGTCACAACCAGGCTGGGTGTGTGCGTGCTTGGGTTGGTGCTGACATGCCAGCCCCCTGCCACCTCAGCCTCCTGTGAACTTTGGGCGCCAATGAACATAGGAGGGAGGCCAAGAGGGGACAGAGGGCTGCTCACTGTGGGCCTGCAGGCACTTCTCCTCATAAACAGCCTGGGCACCATGAACAACATGATTGATGGCAGCAGAAGACAGGCTCCTGGGTGGAAAGTGGGGTGTCCCTGGTGAAGCCCCACCTTCAAGCCAGGGATGGCCTGAAGCCTGGGGACCAGCCCATCAGTTCCAGTGGAGTCCGTGGCCCAGAGTGAAAACTTACGGTGCTTTTACCGGGCCTGCCCATGGCCACCCGTGGACCAATCAACATGTACTTCCTCCTTTCTGAGCCCAAAAAAACCCTGGAGCCAGCCAGCCTCACACAGACATCAAGAATACCAGCTGCAGGGAGGAGATTTCCTCTTCGTGTCTCCTGGGACCACCTTCTGCAGAAAGGAACTACCTATTCCGGGTCTTCTCTCTGCTGAGAGCTGGACACTTATGGGGATAACCTGCCTATGGATAGGAGCTACACACTTCGGTCTCTTGAGAGCTGTTCTGTAGCTTTGTAAAGTTCCTCTCCACCTTAACTCTCCAGCTGTGCGCGTACCTCATTCTTCCTGGATGTGGGCCAAAAACTCGGGACCCACCAAATGGCAGGAATGAAAGAGCGGTAACACAAACAGGGCTAAAACCTTGTTTAGCTGCCACCCCCCTCACCATGTGGCGAGCAACAAAAAGGAGAGAAGAGTTGCGGCTCTTCAGGGAGCCCCTCATCCAGACGCGGGTGCTCACAGCAGAAGGCTCTTGCCCTGTATCTGATTCAATCTAAGGTTTGCTGGGAGAGGGCGGCTGGAGCTACCCGTCCCGCCAAAGCAGCTAGCGTGCGTGGCTATGCACAGTGACAAGACCCTGCACTTGCTCGCTCATGCACCCATCGCTGCTCTGAACCTGGCTTGCCCTGGCAAAGTGTCGGATTTAGCCCAGTAGCATGAGCCAAGCACAGCCTGCCAGGTGGAGTGGGTGATACAAACACAGCTAGTCCGAGCAAAACTTGGGCAAAGGCGCCACCACCCGCAGAGGTTTCTGGCTGGAAAAGCAACACCCTTAGGATCCAGTGACAATACCAGGAGGTGGAAGTTGGCCAAAGCATACCAAATGCTCTGAGGGACATGCATAGGACACTGACAAGTTTGGCTACACCAAGAAAACAAGGTAATAAAGTCTATAACAGGGGCATGTGCAAAAATTATCATCAAAGGAGAAATGCTGAAGTTGACTCAAGAAGGAAGAACACAGGTAAGAGAGAAGTTGAGAGAAGTTGGAATCTGTTAGGGAAAGTTAGTTGTATAAGTAAAGGCACAGAGAAATCAGAGTGTGACATAGCATAGTTACAATGAATAAGACGTACCATGTCATAAACACTTTTCTATACCATGTTGTAGAAGGTGACGGGGGAGCCACTAAAGGGTCTGAGGTATGGCAACATCTGATTTGTATTTTATAAAAATTACTCCTGATATATTGAAATGGGAGATTCTAAATCCAGAAGGCAGAAGTAGGAGGCAATTGTAATAAACCAGGCATATGAGGCTTGAACTAATGTAATCGTCTTTATTAATGATAATTAAGTTATATTACAGTTGTCAGTTTAAAATGCCACATTGCTGAAAACTGAAAAACTTCACTTAGCCATATATATATTAACTATTCAGTTAAAAACAAACAAGCATTGAAATTATTTACAAAAATGATCTTTC
Organism: Homo sapiens; assembly: GCF_000001405.40. Taxonomy (NCBI): domain Eukaryota; kingdom Metazoa; phylum Chordata; class Mammalia; order Primates; family Hominidae; genus Homo; species Homo sapiens. Next base: position 54,062,907 of record NC_000010.11, on the reverse strand, counting down.
CCATTTTCTTAATTTATTTAGCTTGGAGAGATAAAGCCCAGATGGAATATATAACTAAAAACACACAAGTAGACATCAACATGATGATTAGTTTTTAGTTAAATTTCTTTTCCTTTTTTTCTTATTTTTTTTTTCCCGCTTTTCCTAGTGATTCTTTGTTCTTGAATTATTGTGTTAACCTTGTTGTTGTCTCCTGGTTCTTAAATTTGATAAGAAATGGCCTCTATAATTTATTTCAGTTTTTAAAATTGAAATATGGACCTTAGCCTGGTCTTTAGGCAATAACTTGTTTTCATAAAAACTAAAACGATGTTGAAAGCAAAAAGGAAGAGGAAGACATCCAAGGCAGGCTGCATCTAACTGATTCTGCACAGTGTAATGTTTATAGGATGGAATTTTGATGCTCATAATGGTTGCTACCTAATGATAATTATATCATATATTAATTTCACTAAATTACTCATGCTCTGCTTGTAAAATTTAATTTTAATTGTCATCAAAAACTATTAAGACTTAAAACCAAGATACATATTGTTAATTACTATACTGAATTTGAGTTATCAACTTTGTGTTTATATTCTATTGATATTTTAATATGAATAATCCAATATTTGAATTAAAATGCTGAAGGGAGTTTTCATTTAGTTGTTTTTTGTTTTTTTTTTTTTTTTTTTTTTTTTGAGACAGAATCTCACTCTTGTCACCCAGGCTGGATGGAGTGCAATGGAGTGACCTCGGCTCACTGCAACCTCTGCCGCCCAGGTTCAAACTTCACCTGCTTCAGCCTCCTGAGTCGCTGGGATTACAGGCAACCTCCACCATGCCCAGCAAATTTTTGTACTTTTAGTAGAGACAGGTTTGTGCCATGTTGGCCAGGCTGATCTTGAACTTCTGACCTCAGGTGATCTGCCCGCCTTGGCCTCCCAAAGTGCTGGGATTACAGGCCTGAGCCACCACACCCGGCCTCATTTAGTTTTTAAAGGTAGTGTTGTAGTAACAAATAATAACTAAGGAATACTTTTGAAGCAAATTTATGGATTATACATAGCAAAAAGTTTTATCCAGCATATTAAAAAATAACCTACCAATCAACAATTTTTAATGTTTATCTTTTTATTCACAAGGTATCATATTATACCTTGTGCATTTAGAATTGAAAACTGTAACAATATGTATGAAAAGATATACTCAAAACCTAGTAAATACAGTAAGTATATACTCTGTGTCAAGTGTCAAATGGGTGCTATAAATTCTTTACTGCAAGGAAAAAGAGACATTATAATAGACTGAGGTGGCCAGGTTAGGGTTCATGAGAAAAGCAGATTATTCTTGGTTCTTTTCAATGTATTAGTGAAATCTTTGTTGGAAATTTAAAAAAAAAAGGAAATAAAAATACCAGCCAAAAAAATGTAATATGAAATATAATCCAGCTGAAGAAGCAATTTGAGGACTCTAAGTCAGTATTCTGACAATAATGGAAGAGCTGTTTAAAGGAGTTCTGGAAAAATGATTAAAAATACATTGAGTTCAGATGGGGCCTAATGAAATAGTGAATGATATGAAGACTTAGTGTAATATTTTGCCTAGTATCCTTGAGAGTATTTCACAGGAGATAGAATCTAGAGGATTTGTATGCATATCTTGACTGTGGACCACAAGCATGCAAATAATTGATCTTTAGAATGGGTCTCAGATATGAGAGGCCTCTTACTAGAGGCCTCATACTCAACTGCAGAACTCTCAGATGATCCCAAGTCTTTGGGGGAGCAGATGCCAGTAGAAGCCCCCAAATGCAGTCATATTCTGATCAAATCTGCAGGCCTGGTCCTGGACCCCTCAAGTCTCAAAGGAATAGGCATTTGGGAATATACAACAGCAGAGCATGATATAACTTCTGTGAAGGTCCATTCAGCCTTTAGATAGACTGACTCTAAGCCAGTCTACTAAATCAGTGTCCAGCTTTCCAGCCACTTACCTTTAAAAGCCTGTTTTATACTGGACTGTGACTTCTAGACTCACCACACAGGGATCCCGGACTTCTCATCTTACCTAACAACCCTCACCTCTTATGCTCCTTACATACTTTAATGAGACGACCACTCCCTGGTCACTTGGTTCATCCTGTCACTAGATCACGTGACTCCATGAATCCAGACCCAGCATCCCAACAAGATGGAGAACTTAATGAACAGCTTAAAATATGGGCCATGGAATAAAACTACCTGAGTTCAAATTTGACTTGCCAAAATAACTAATGCAATCTTGGATAACTAATTTAGCTTCTCTGGGACTGGATTTCGCTATCGCAAAATGGAGATAATAATAGAATTCATCTCAAGTAGTGATTTGAAGGATTAATACATACACATAATATATGTACAGGTTTAAAATAAGGAATGAAGCTAATATGCACTTAATTTTTATTATAATTATGTTAAATACTAAATAATTTATAAAGTATGGCTACGTATATTATAGAAAGTAATATTTTTTACAACACTATGAACTAAATGCAAACAATTGTTTATGATTTTTCGAAATACGGTAGTTGCACTCTTGCATTTGCCTAATATTACCATATTTAGAGAACATTTTAATGGAAGTACTGTTCTTAAGAAACTATAAAATCTTAAGTTGATAAATGATTTTCTTCTACTGCATCACTACAAACAATCATAGTCAGTCAGATTATAAACAGCGTTTATCCTTTTTAAGTGTGTTAGCCAAAGCTTGGTCTTTGATAATAACAAATGTACAAATCAACATTTAGTACATGAACATATATATGCATATAGTCACATTTGTAGGATATTTTAGAAATTTAAAGGAAATGAAAGATATTTGTTATTATCAAAATAGAGCTCATGGTTGCGATCCTGATTTTTGTATTTTTGTTTATTCATCTTAAAATAAGTCCAGCTAGTGGGATATGTGGAGCTTGCATTGAAAGAAGCATATTGGATAGACTGACAGCTCTAGTAAAAAATCAGTAATAATGACTATCAATTTTTGAATTCTTACAATGTGCCACGAACTATTCTAAATGCTTTCCATTGTACATATTTGAATTACTTTCAAATGTTTGGTCTTAACCACTCTACTATACAGGATTCTCCAATGACCATGCTTCCTGTGACTTGCTCATGCGTATCTGAACTGAAAAAATACAAACATGCGTTAGGTGGCTATCAAAGTGTTGTTCCTGGAAAAGCAGCATCAGCATCAGCATCAGCACCAATAGAAACACCTTAGAAATGCAGACTGCTATACTCTATACCACAGAGATTGAATCAGAAACCCTAGTGTTGGGGCCAGAAATCTGTGTTTTAGTGAGCTCTGCCATTGATTCTGGTTTATACTAACCTGTGCCATGCACAAGCGCATGTGTATATGTAAGAAAGAGAGAAAAAGGAAAAGGGAGATAAAGAAATATTATGTGTTAGAGGAAAAATATAAAATTCTTTTATGTATTATGTATTTACTTATTGTTATATAAGATAAATAGGGTAAAGCTGGGTCTGTTGTTGGGGTTATGCATAATTATTATTGTATTACTGTTATTGTGCATACTCCCAACAGTAGACCCAATTTAGCCTAAACTAGTTACTTTACATAACAATAATAAATAAGTCAATTTCTTGTCAAATGTTCATGTTTAAAAGTGGCATAATGAAAATCATTTTCATTTGTAGCAATATGAATGGAAATGGAGGTTATTATGTTAAGTAAAATAAATCAAGAATAGAAAGACAAATATCACATGTCCTCACTCATAGGCTGGAGCTGAAAAAGTTGTTCTCATGGAAATAGAGAGTAGACTGATAGATACCAGAGGCTGAGAAGAGTGGTGGTGGTGGAGGATGGGGCTGATGAAGAAAGTTGTTACAAACATACTGTTAGAAGAAATAAGTTCTGGCCAGGTGTGGTGGCTCATGCCTGTAATCCCAGCATTTTGGGAGGCCGAGGCGGGTGGATCATCTGAGGTCGGGAGTTTGAGACTAGCCTGACCAACATGGAGAAATCCTGTCTCTACTGAAAATATAAAATTAGCTGGGCATGGTGGCACATCTCTGTAATCCCAGCTACCCAGGAAGGCTGAGGCAGGAGAATAGCTTGAACCCAGGAGGCAGAGGTTGCAGTGAGTTGAGATTGCACCACTGCACTCCAGCCTGGGCAACAAGAGCAAAACTTGGTCTAAAAAAAAAAAAAGAAAGAAAGAAAGAAAGAAATATGTTCTAATGTTAGATAGCAGATATGGTTTGGTTGTATCCCCAACCATATGGTTTGGGGATATGACCGATATGGTTTGGTTGTATCCCCACCCAAATCTCGAACTGTAGCTCCCATAATTCCCACACGTCGTGGAAAGGACCAGGTGGGAGGTGACTGAATCATCAGGGCAGGTCTTTCTCATGCTGTTCTTGGGATAGTGAGTAAGTCTCACAAGATGTGATGGTTTTATAAATGGGAGTTCCCCTGCATACGCTGTCTTTCCTACCACCATGTAAGCCAGGACTTTGCTCCTCATTTGCCTTCTGCCATGAAAGCAGGCCTCCTGAGCCATGTGAAACTGTGAGTCAATTAGACTTCTTTCCTTGATAAATTACCCAGTCTCAGGTATGTGTTTATTAGCAGCATGAAAACAGTCTAATACAGTGAATGGGTACCAGTAGAGTGTGGTGCTGCTGGAAAGAGACCCAAAAATATGGAAGCAACTTTGGAACTGGGTAACAGGCCTGGGTTGGAACAGTTTGGAGGGCTCAGAAGAAAATAGGAAAATGTGGGAAAGTTTGGTACTTCCTAGAGACTTGGAGGGCTCAAAAGGCAGGAAGATGAGGGAATGTTTGGAACTTCATAGAGAATTATTAAATGACTTTGACCAAAATGCTGATAGTGATATGGACAATAAAGTCTAGGCTGAGGTGATCTTAGATGGAGATGAGAAACTTGTTGGGAACTGGAGTTAAGGTCACTCTTGCTATGCAAGAGACTGGTGGCATTTTGCCCCTGCCCTAGGAATCTGTGTAACTTTGAACTTGAAAGAGATGATTCAGGATATCTAGCAGAAGAAACTTCTAAGTGGCAAAGTGCTCAAGAGGAAACAGAGCATAAAAGTTGGAGAAATTTGCAGCCTGATGAGGCAGTAGTAAAGAAAACCTCATTTTCTGAGGAGAAATTCAAACTAGCAGTGGAAATTTGCATAAGTAAGGAGGAGCCAAATGCTAATCACCAAGACAATGGGGGAAATGTCTCCAGGGTATCTCAGAGACATTCATGGCAGGCCCTCCAATCACAGGCCCAGAGGCCTAGGAGGAAAAAATGGTTTCCTGGGCTGGGTCCAGGACCCCTCTGCTGTGTGTATCCTCATGACTTAGTGCCCTGTATCCCAGCCACTCTAGCCATGGCTAAAAGGGGCCAAGGTATAGCTCAGGCCAGGGCTTCAGAGGTTACAAGCCCCAAGTCTTGGCGGCTTCCACATGGTGTTGATCGTGCAGGTGCACAGAAGTCAATAATTAAGGTTTGGGAACCTCTGCCTAGATTTCAGAGGATGTATGGAAATGCCTGGATGTCCAGGCAGAGTTATGCTGCAGGGGCAGAGCCCTCATGGAGAACCTCTGCCAGGGTAGTGCAGAAGGGAAATGTGGGTGGGAGCCCCCACACAGAGTCCCCACTGGGACACTGCCTAGTGGAGCTGTGAAAAGAGGGTCACTGTCCTCCAGCCCCAAGAATAGTAATCCACTGACAGCTTGCACTTTGGGCCTGGCAAGTCGCAGACACTCAACACCAGCCCATGAGCCCATGAAAACAACCAGGAGTGGGAGCTTTACCCTTCAAAGTCACAGGGGTGGAGCTGCCCAAAGCTGTGGAAGCCCATCTTTAGCATCAGCATGACCTGGATGTGACACATGGAGTCAAAGGAGATCATTTTGGAGCTTCATGATTTGACTTCCCCATTGGATTTTGGACTTGCGTGGGGCCTGTAGCCCTTTTGTTTTGGCCAATTTCTCTCATTTGGAATGGGTATATTTACCCAATGCCTGTATCCCCAGTGTATCTAGGAAGTAACTAACTCACTTTTGATTTTACAGGCTCATAGACGGAAGGAACTAGCTGTGTCTGAGATAAGACTTCGGACTTCAACTGTTGAGTTAATGCTGAAATGAGTTAAGATTTTGGGTGGCTTTTGGAAGGCATGATTGGTTTTGAAATGTGAGGACATGGGATTTGGGAGGGGCTGGGGATGGGATGATATGGTTTGGCTGTGTCCTCATCGAAAATCTCACCTTGAATTATAATCCCCATGTGTCAAGGGAGGGGCCAGGTGAAGATAATTGAATCATGGGGGCAGTTTTCCCCACACTGTTCTCATGGTAGTGAATAAGTCTCTCAAGATCTGATGGTTTTATAAATGGGAGATCCCCTGCACAAGCTCTCTCCTGCCTGCCATCATGTAAGGTGTGACTTTGCTCCTCATTCACCTTCTGCCATGATTGCGAGGCTTCCCCAGCCATGTGGAACTGTGAGTCAATTAAACCTCTTTCTTTTATAAATTATCCAGTCTCAGGTATGCCTTTTTTAGCAACATTAGGACAGACTAATACAGCAACTGTGGTTAGCAGCAATGTGTTGTATATTTTCAAGTGGCTTGAAGAGAGAACTTGGAATGTCCACACACAGAAATGGTAAATACTCTAAGTGATGGACACCCCAAATTCCCTGATTTGATTTTTACACATTCCAGCAAAATATCACATGTACCCCATAAATATGTACATATATTATATATCAATTAAAAATGGCATAATCCCAACAATGGACTTGGATGTGCCTCTCAGAATCTTATTTATTCCTAAAAGAGAATTGAAGGATTTCCTGGGAATAATTTATGCTAATGTGTAACAGTCAGACAGATGAATCTGGTCTCATTATAAACCTGATGTCATCAGAAGTAGGAGAACATGATGCATAGTTCAACATGGTTTCTGTCATTTTCATTTGTTTTCTCAACTAATGTTCTGTGAATTCAATCATCAGTCTGGGTTAGAAAGTGAGAAGATAAAGATCTATTTCAGTAAATTCTGTCTAAGATACATGATCATGAGAAAAACTTCTTTGTACTTATTAACATAATTCAGCATAAAAGAAAAAGAGGTGGCCTTTTACTTCAGCACACTTATCACACTATATGCTTTAGTGCATTTCTGTATGTGAGACATGGGTGGATGGAGGTTGAGGGGGGAGGGAAGTGGAGGTAGGAAGGCTTTCAGCTAATATCAGAGGTGTCTGGCCTTTGTAGGAGTATCTCATTGAGGAGTCTGCTAAGGTCAGAATTCTCAAGTTTAAGGACTAAATTATTTATCTCTGTTTTTCATAGCAACCCTGGGCATAAATGCTTGCACAAATGCATTAGAGAAGGCACACTTGGAAACTATACTGCCTGTTAAACAATGTTTAAACAAAGATTAAACAATGTTCTCAGCATTGTATAATATAGAGTAAGCTGATTCCCAGTAAACTTCCATGTAATACCTTGTATAAATTTTTCTACTGAACTGACTTCTTTGAGGTCTAGGTAACAAAAATAGAACCATAAGTCTACAACATGTTCTTCCAGTTCTAAATAAGAGGCTGAATTTATTTAACTTAAAACACAAATGTATTCCCAGTATGAGACCTGCATGCTAAATCTTAGCTAAGATATTGTAGGAATGTTTCTGTCTTAAGCACTTAAAGAAGTTTTAAAATCATTAGTAAACTACAGTGTTTGGAAGGGTAGTGATACAGTCATTAAAAAAATGATGTTTCCTTCAACTATACAATTTAATATTAAACAAAATAAATCTGAACCTCAGTGGCCTAACTCTGATTACTATAGTTGTCTCCCTGTGTGGGGTTCTAAAACTAAAATGAAGGTGGAGAGCATTATGGTGATTTCTTATTTTTTGTAGCTCAGTATGACACTCAACAGTGCCTAAAACTGTAATAATTCTTTTTTAAGTGGGCTGCAAGTGGGGAATTTTATGAGTTCTCTTTTTAAGCCAAACTATATAATGCAAACCCTGTAACTCATTCTGATAAAGAAAAAAGCCCACACAATTTGAAAAATTGGTTATGTCAATATAAATGTGCTACATAATAATATTTACAATAGAAATCTACCTAATGTCTGTGACTATTTTTGAAATGTGGTCATGTTTCAGATATTCAATTAGCAGCTCATAAATAGATTAGAAAATTTTAAGAATATATTTTTACAATATTTATTTAGGGCCTACCCCTTTAGCAATGTTTAGGCTTAATATCAGCTATTAGAAAAATACACATTATTGTGTGTGTGTGTATGTGTAAATATTTATAGTTGTGAAATCCCAGCTATACAATGAATGATATCTGTGTCCACTTTATGGTCACAAATGACCACTGTGCTTTTAAATGTTATCTTTATCTAAGTCACTTTACTGCTCTATTGCTATAGGATCTCTCTCTGTCTCTCTTTTTTCTTAAGATTCTACTACCTGCTTGCTGCTAGTTTTCATGTTTAAGCACATCTAATTCTGTCTTCCCCTTATCTGTTTGCTCCTTAAACTTTGGATTTTGAAAGTATCATCTAAGTTGCCCTTTTGACTCTATGTATTCCTTTTTTATCAATTGCAATTACATTAAAGCCGACAGCTTTACTTACATTGAGATGCTTATTTTCCTTCTACTCCTTTAAGCTACAGCCTCAAATAGACATATATCTGTAAAATATCCACTTGAATTTCCAGAAAGCATCTAAATTTCAACATTTTTAAGATTGAAGTCTTATTTTCGTCTTCCCCAGAAAGGGCTCCTTCTGAATTCTGTACCTCAATTAACTATTCCCCAAGCCAAATGCTAAGGAGCCATCTAAGTCTCCTCTTTCTCTCTCACTCTCCATATCCAAGTAATCACCAATATTGATCATTTTACATGTTACAAATTTTTCTCACATTCTCTCTCTCATAACAACCATAATCAGGCTCTTATTATTTCTCACTTGAACTATTGCTACAGCCTGTGAGTTAGTTATCCTGATACTGGTCTTGACACTTTATAATTATCTGTGATGTAAATTCTGGAATTATGTCTCTAACTAACAAATAACTTAAGTACACAATATGGTTATTATTACCCACAGAACAAACAAAACACAGTACCCACCTCACACTATTACTTTGACAACTTTATCTCTAGCCATACTCACTTGCTCACAATTGCTAATATATGTCTCTTTGCATCTGTTTATACCCCCACCTTGATTTTCTTTTTCTCCATTTTTTAAAGATAACTCAGATACTTGAAAATTTAGCCACTATAATCTTTTCCAGAAAATCTTTTGTGAACTTTCCTATACCCTCGGTGTTTTCTATTCATGGTCTCATGTAATACTGTGTACAAATTTTGATAGTAATTGCTAGAGTATATTTATGTTGTCTATTTATCTAAACATCTTGAAAGTAGAGATTGATGTTAGAAATTTCACTACATAGCCCAACGCTTGGCTTAGCCCTTGCATAATGTATGTACATACATGAAATGAAACTAAATTTAATGACATAAAATTATCTAAAAGTAAAGTTTTGTAATGAAGATTCCTAAATGTAAAAAGAGAACCGGTAAAGTATATGTCAGCATCTAAACATACATATTTGTCTTACCTCACAAGCATACAAACACATAAATAAGTTCTCTTGACAAATAAATAAAAAGCTTTGATATTGGATATATGTCCACTTTTAGAATTTCAGTATGTGTAAGAGTATACTTACATGTACTAGTCTGTTCTCACACTGCTAATAAAGACACACCTTAGACTGGGGAATTTATAAAGGAAAGAGGTTTAATTAACTCACAGTTCCACATAGTTTGGAAGGCCTCAAGAATCTTGCAATTATGGTGGAAGAGGAAGCAAATGTGTCCTTCTTCACATGGGGGCAGGAGAGGTTCAGAGCGAAGCGGGGAAAAGCTCCTTAGAAAACCATCAATCTTGTGAAAACGTAGTATCATGAGAACAGCATGGAGGTAATTGCCCTCATGATTCAATTACCTCCCACTGGGTTCCTCCCACAACACATGCGGATTATGGGAACTAAAATTCAAGGTGAGATTTGGGTGGGGACACAGCTAAACCATATCATTCTGCCCCTGACCCCTCCCAAACCTCATGTCCTCACATTTCAAAACACAATTATGCCCTTCCAACAGTCCCCCAAAGTCTTAAGTCATTGCAGCATTAACCCAAAAGTCCAAGTCCTAAGTCTCATCTGAGACAAGGCAAGTTTCTTCCACCTAATAGCCTGTAGAATTAAAAGTTACTACTTCCTAGATACAATGAGGGTACAGGCGTAGGATAAACACATGCATTCTAAATGAGAGAAATTGGCCAAGACAAAGGGGCTAAAGGCCCAATGCAAGTCCAAAATCCAAGAGGGCAGTCATTAAACCTTAAAGTTTCAAAATGACCTCCTTTGATTCCATGTCTCACATACAAGTCATGCTGATGCAAGAGTGACACTCCCATAGCCGTGGGAAGCTTCAACCCTTTGGTTTTGGCGGGTACAGCCCCCCTCCTAACTGCTTTCATGGGCTGCCATTGAGTGCCTGCGGCTTTTCTAGGCACATGGTACAAGGTGTTGGTGGATCCACCATTCTGGAGTCTGGAGGATGGTGGCCCTCTTCTAACAGCTTCACTAGGCAGTGCCCCAGTGGGGACTCTGTGTGGGGGCTCTGACCACATGTTTCCTTTCTGCACTACCGTAGCAGAGGTTCTCCATGAGGGCACCACTTCTATAGCAAACTCCTGCCTGGACATCCAGGCATTTCCATATTTCCTCTGAAATCTAGGCAGAGGTTTCCAAACCTCAATTCTTGACTTCTGTGCACCCACAGGACCAACACCACATGTAAGCGGCCAAGGCTTAGGGCTTGTGCCCTCTGAAGCAACACCTGGACCTATACATTGGCCCCTTTTAGCCACGGCTGGAGCTGAAGCAGGCAGAACATGGGGAACTATGTACTGAGGCTGCATAGTGGGCCCTGGACCTGACCCATAAAACCATTTCTCTCCTAGTCCTCTGGGCCTATGATGGGAAAGGATGCTGTGCAGGTCTCTGATATGCCCTGGAGACATTTTCCCCAATGTCTTGGTGATTAGCATTTGGTTCCTTGTTATCTATGCAAATTTCTGCAGCAGGCTTGAATTTCTCCCCAGAAAATGAGTTTTTATTTTCTATCACATCATCAGGCTGCAAATTTTCCAGACTTTAATGCTCTGTTTTCTCTTGAACCCTTTGGCACTTAGAAATTTCCACAAGATACCTTAAATAATCTCTCTCAAGTTTAAAGTTCCACAGGTATCTGGGGTAGGGGCAAAATGCTTCTAGTCTCTTTGCATAGCAGGAGCGACATTTACTCTATTTCCCAACGAGTTCCCCATCTTCAGCTGAGACCACATCAGCTGGACTTCATTGTACAAATCACTACCAGCATTTTGGTCAAAGCCGTTCAACAAGTCTCTAGAGAGTTCCAAAGTTTCCCACTTCTTTCTGTCTTCCTAGCCTTCCAAGTGTTTAGGAAGTTCCAAACTTTCTCACATTTTTAGATCTTCTTCTGAGCCCCCCAAACTGTTCCAGCCTCTGCCTGTTACCCACTTCCAAATTTGCCTCCACATTTTCAGGCATCTTTACAGCAACCCTACTTTCTGTGGTACCAATGTACTGTACTAGTCTGTTCTCACATTGCTAATAAAGACATACTCGAGACGGGGATACTTACAAAGGAAAGAGGTTTAATTGACTCACAGTTCAGCATGTCTGGGGAAGCCTCAGGAAACTTACGATCATGGTGGAAGGGGAAGCACACACATCCTTCTTCACATGATAGCAGGAGCAGAGAAATGCAGAGTGAAGGGAGAGAAAAAATGCTTGTAAAACATCAGATCTTTTGAGAACTCAATTACTATCACGAGAACAGTATAGAAGTAACTGCTCCCATGATTCAATTACCTCCAACCAGGTCCCTCCCATGACATGTAGGGATTATGGGAACTACAATCAAGATGAGATTTTGGTGGGGACACAGCCAAACCATATCAATACAGTTGATTTAAAAAACAGTGTTACAACACCAGAATCTCAGCGATGCAGCAAAAGTAGCATTAAGAGGAAAGTCTATAGTGCTAAATACATACATCAAAAATATAGAAATAACTCACATTAATACTCTATCATCATGCCTGGAAGATCTAGGGAAAAACAAACAAACAAACAAACAAAACCCCTTATGTCTAGCAAAAGAGAACAAATAACTAGAATCAGAAAGAACTGAATTAAATTGAGGCCCCAAAATCTATATAAAGGATCAATGAAACCAAAAGTTGGTTCTTCGAAAAGATGAACAAGATTTATAGACCTATAGCTAGATTAACAAATAAAAAGAGAGGAAATCCAATTAAGAACAAGCAGAAATGACAAAAGATGACATTACAATTAACCTCACAGAAATACAAAAGATCCTCAGATGCTATTATGAACACATCTATGCACACAAACTAGAAAATGTAGATGAAATGGATAAATTCCTGGAAACACACAAGCTCCCATGATTGAATCAAGAAGAAATCAAAAGCTTGAACAGAAAAATAATGAGTTTTGAAATTAAATTAGTAATGAAAAATCTACCGATCAAAAAATGCCCTTGAAAGGATGGATTCACAGCCAAATTCTACCAGACATACAGAGAAGAGCTGGCACCAGTCCTACTGAAACTATTCCAAAACTTCGAGTAGGAGGGACTCCACCCTAACGCACTCTGTGAGGCCAGCATTCTGATACTAAAATCTGGTAAATGCACAGTTAAAATGGAAAACTACAGGCCCATACCACTGAGGAACAGAGACATAAAAATCTTCAACAAAATACTACCTAACTGAATTTCACAGCATACTAAAAAGTATCTCAAAATGACAAAGCTGGGCACCATGGCTCACACCTGTAATCCCAGCACTTTGGGAGGCCGAGGAGGGTGGATCACAAGGTCAGGAGTTTGAGACCAGCCTGGTAAATATGGTGAAACCCTATCTCTACTAAAAAGACAAAAATTAGCCAGGCTTGGTGGCGGGTGCTTGTAGTGCAAGCTACTTGGGAGGCTGAGGCAGGAGAATTGTTTGAACCCAGGAGGCAGAGACTGCAGTGAGCCAAGGTTGCGCCATTGCATGCCAGCCTGGGTGACAGAGCGAGACTCCGTCTCAAAAAAAAAAAAAATCATCACAATAGATGCAGAAAAAGCTTTTGATAAAATCCAATATTTCCTCATGATAAAAACCCACAAGAAACTAGGCATTGAAAGAAAATACTTCAAAATAATCAGATCCATCTATGGCAGATCCACAGCCAACATCATACTGAACATGAAAATGCTGAAAGCATTCACCTTGAGAACTGGAACAAGAGAAGGATGCCTACTCTAACCCCTCCTATTTAACATATTACCAGAAATCTTAGTTAGAGAAATCAGGCAAAGAAAGAAATAAAAGACATCCAAGTAGGAACAGAAGAAGTCAAAATATCTCTCCTCACTGAAATTATTATTCTATACCTAGAAAACCCTAAAGACTCCATTAAAAGGCTACTGAAACTGGTAACTTCAGTAAAGTTTTAGGATACAAAAATCAAGGTAAAAAAAATCAGTGGCATTTTTATGCACAAATAACAGTCAAGCTGAGAGCCAAATCAAGTGTGCAATTACATTTACAATAGTCACAAGTGAAAATAAAATACCTAGGAATGCATCTAAATTTGGAAGTGGAAGATTGCTACAAGGAGACCTACAAAACACTGCTGAAAGAAATCATAGATGGCACAAACAAATGGAAAAGCATTCTATGCTCATGGATTGGAAGAGTTAATATCATTAAAATGACCATACTGCCCACAGCAATCTGTAGATGCAATGCTACTCCTATCAAACTACCAGTACCATTTAACTGAATTAGAAAAAAAAAAAACTGTTCTGAAACTTACATGGAAACAAAAAAGAACCTGAATAGCCAAAGCGATCTTAAGCAGAAAGAACAAAACCAAAGGCATCACATTATCCTACTTCAAACTATACTACAAGCCTACAGTAGTATAGGCTACACATAGACAGACACATAGGTTAACGGAACAGAATGGAGACCCCAGAATTAAACCATTTGATTATAAAGTCAACAAAAATAAGCAATCAGAAAAGGACTTCCTATTCAATAAATGTTGGGATAACTGGCTATCCATATGCAAAAGAATAAAACTGCACTCCTCCCTTTCAGTATGTATAAAAAGTATGTCAAGATGCACTAATCACTTATGTAAGATGCAAAACTATAAAAATCCTGGAAGAAAACCTAGGAAATATCATTCTGGACATCAGCCTTGGCAAAGAAGTTATGACTAAGTCTTGGAAACAATTGCCACAAAAACAAAAATTGATAAGTGGGACGTAATTAAACTAAGGAGCTTCTGCAAAGCAAAATAAAATATCAACAGAGTAAACAACCTACAGAATGGGAGAAAATATTTGCTAACTATGCAGCTTTTAGATGTCTAATATCCTGATTCTATAAAGAACTTAAAATAATTCAACAAACAAAAAAGAAATAAGGCCATTAAAAATTTGGCAAAAGATATGAGCAGACACTTCTCAAGACATACAAGCAGCCAACAAACAAATGAAAAAATGATCCACATCATAAATCATCAAGAAATGCATATCAAAACCAGAATGAGATACCATCTCACACCAGTCAAAATGACTATTATTAAAAAGTCAAAAGATAACAGATGTTTGCAAAGGTGTGGAAAAAAGGGAATGCATATACACTGTTGGTGGAAATGTAAATGTGGATATCTCCAAACTGCTTTCTGCAGTGGCTGAACTAAAAACAGAACTACCACTTGAACCAACATTCTTATAGCTGGGTATATACCCAAAGGAAAATACATCATTCTACCAAAAAGACACATGCACTTGTATTTTCATGACAGCACTACCTACAATCGCAAACTTATGGAATTAACCTAGATGCCCAACAATGGTGGATTTGATAAAGAAAATATGGTACATATATAGCATGGAGTACTAAACAGTCATAAAAAATGAAATCATGTCATTTGCAGCAACATGAATACAGCTGGAGACCATTATTTTAAGTACATTAATGCAGGGACAGAAAACCGAATACCACCTATTCTCAGATGTAAGTGGGACTGAAACACTGGGTACACATGGACATAAAGTTGGGAACAATAAACACTAGGGACTACTAGAGAAGAGACTGGGGGAGGGGCACAAGGGTTGAAAACTGAAAAAAACAACCATTGGGTACTATGCTCACTACATGGGCAATAGAATTATTAGTACCCCAGATATCAGCATTACATGATATGCCCTTCTATGAAACCTACACATGTACCATCCATGCATGAATCTAAATAAAAGTTGAAATAAAAAAAAAAAAGTGATTATCACCCCCACCCCCCACCACACACAGCAGTGTGAATGCAAAGAACAATTGAAATTTATAGTTGGTACTGGAAAAAATAGCACATCTCTTTACCCACTCATGGGACAGGCAAAGATAATGAAGGCATTTCCCAGGCGTAAAAACTACATGGAAGAAAAGTATAACAGACATGCTATCAGCCTATTTGGTCATGTATTTGAAATTGTGTTTTCCATTTCCCCATTTAAATTATTTAATGTATATCCAAGAAGCAATACCAAGTAATTTTGCCTCACAAACCCCTGCTACATCTATCTAGCTATATATTTTAATGCTACATTACTTATTTATGAGATCCTACTTTATACAAATTGCACTTCTGTTTTATAGACTGATGAAAATTCATGACCTATTCACTTTAGTTCAGTTCAGTTTTCCTTCTCTACAAATATTATAACTCACTACAATTACTTACGTGGACTTTATTGCCTACCTGAGGAATAAGCTTGGCAACCAACTTGGTTTTACAGAAAGAATTCCAGCTATATCCGGAGATTTTTATTAAGACCAACTCTTGTCCTTTAAACTTTAAGAAAAAAAATGTAATACACAAAAGTGATTTAAAGATAAATGTACAGTTTAGTATATTATTATACAGTAAACATAAATGTAAGTCCAAATCAGGTATAGAATGCATCACCAGAAAATCTTTCTTCATGCTCCTTCTCAGGCGCAATTGCTTTCCTCCACCTAGAGTTAACCACTATGTTAATTTCCTGGGTTTTTTTGTTGCACATTTACCATCTAAGTAAGCATTTATAAACATTATAGTTTAGTTTTGTCTTTTTTCGAAGCCTGTAAACAGAATTTTAGAGTGTGTGTGCATTAGTATCTGTCTTCTTTCATTCATATTTAACTTTTTACTATTCAGCCACATTTCTACCTGTTCATTCATTTATTTGCTGTTTGTGGCTATGCCACAATTTATTTTCACATTCTCATGTTGATGAGTGTTTGAGAGCTCTCCAGTTTGAGGATGTTATCTTCAGTGCTGCTGTGAATATGTTTATATCATTTCTCCTGGCGCTCATGTGCCTGAGTTTCTCTATGTTATGAACATGTGTCTATTCAATTTTGTTGGAAATGCGAAATTGTTTTCCATAGTAACTATGCCAAGAGTTGTATATGAGAGTTGGTCATGGTTCCTGTCTGTGTGCTTGGTATGTCAGTCTTTCTAATTTGAGCCACCTTGTTACGGTTTCAGTGATATCGCATTATGATCGTGATTAGCATTTTGCTAATGGCATTGAGAATCTTTTCATATATTTACTTACTATTTTGAATTTCGTCTTTTCCGAAATGCCTATTTGAGTTTCTTATTTATCTGTTGGAGTAAATGTGTTTTCTTCTTGAATGTTCTTTTTTATCTGTGGGAGTTCTTTGATTATTATAGAAATGAGCCCCTCCTTTGTTATATATGTTTCAAACATTTCTCCCATTCTCGAGCTTCCATTTCACTTCCTGCAAGATATCTTTTGACACACAGATTTAAATTTTAAGATTATCAAATTTATCCATCATTTTGTAAGTGTTACTATTCTTTTGACCTTGCTTAAAAAATAGCCTACTTCCTCAGGTCATGAAGGACCTGCTTTTTAAAGATTTATTGTCTTGTTATTCGTAATAGGTTTATCATCTGAAATGATTTTTGTGTGTGGAGTGAGGTGGGAGTATAATTTGTTTTCTTCTATATAAATATATATATTTCCCACTGACTCGCAATACATATTATCATAAATCCCATATACATGTGTATGAGGGTTTGTTTCTGGGCTCTCTATTCTATTGTGTTGGTTTATTAGTCTAGTCTTGCAGCAATAGCACACTGTCTCAATTATAGTGATTTTACATACAGTCTTGATACCTAGCAGAGCAAGCTCTCTCATCTTTTTCATCAAATTTTAGCTATTTTCATAGGTGTAGTGATTTCTTTCTGTACTTTGTGATTTGTTGGCATAAAGAGCCAATAATTTCTACTGACTAACCATAAATATTGGTTTAATGGGACCCTTACTATGTCATCTCAGTGAAAACATCACCCCGGTCTTCAGAAAACCAGGATCTCTAGTGCAGCAGAGCCTAGCTTTGCAAGGACGAAAGTATGCCTTTCCCAAATGGGTTAGTCAAGATGATGATGAGAGAGGCCATTCCCACCCTGAACCCTTGATTTGTCATTTCCATCTAGTCTTCTTATCAAGAAAAATGTACCATACAATGGTCATTCCTTCTGTGGCCCTGAAAAATTTCATTCCCAAATTCATCCTTAGCTCTATCTTTAAGAGGCTTTTCCAGTATTCTACTAGGTCAGCACTGCTGGGTGGTACTGTATATTAGTGCCAACAGATCCAGTGGTCCTATGCATATGATTGCACCTAACTTTGCCATGAGATGAACTTCTTGGTTGGAATTGATGTTATGTGCAATTTTCTGGACAAAGTCAGAATAGTCAGTGTCCTCAGCTATTAATATTGGCCAAATCACTGCAGCAATAAAAAAGCAACTCATACTTCAAATGTGTATTAATCACAGGAAAGAACACAATGATGCGGCTTTAGTTTACCTGATTTTGATGTTTTTAGATTATATAAATCCAGCAATAGCCTTCTTGGCTGCCTTTCTGTATTTGCTTTGGGAACACCGTGGTTGGATAGCCATCCTTATAGATCTTTGCACTTCGTAGCAGCTTATTTGACGTTGTTTTTTGCTGATTGCTATGATACATTTCATCCATCTGCCTCTGATATTGGAGTATTTCCACCTGGATTCTGAATCCAGAATTCTTCCACTCACATTGACACTAAGGAACACAAGTTTCATAGCAACATTCACTACCCTCTACTCTGGCCTGGTGAGGAGAGCCATCACTGAACTTTTCAATGATACCAGAGCACCTCTTGTTGCACCTTTCTATATTGCTTCAGAATTGGGAGTGCTACCTAGGCTCTCCTGAGGAACAAAACTAATAGATGGTTTCTCTGGTCATACATAAGAAATCCATGCTAAAATGCCCACTTCTATATACCTTTAACTTCAAATCCCTGTCCAGGCACTTTCACTACCTACACCTTGTTTATTATAGGCCACTGTTTTTCACAACCTTTGGGGAATAATCCAGCAGTACCTTAGAATCAACTCCAGGTGTCCTGGCCACAATTATGACAAAGTATCTCCATACCACTAAACTCTTGGTAAGATGTACTTTTCTCCCTTCAACCCCTTCCAACATAATCAAGATCTATCCTCAGTCATGTCCTCCTGGTGCTGCCAATACTATAAGGCATATCCTGCTGTTCTTTTTGGGAATAATCCTTTTCTACTCATAGCAGGGACAGTTAGAACATGCTGCAACTTGACTTTAGTTATTGGTGCAAAAGCAATGCAGGGACATAGGTACAGAGGACATCTATCATCTTGCTTACAAGATGGTAAGGTATCTAATTCAGATGAAGTCATTACCTGATCTCCAGGCGAGGGATACTGTTCTCATCTAAAAATGAAAAGAAAGTGAAGTTTTCAGTCTAGAAGTTCCAGAGAATCAGTATGTTTTTTTGAAGTGTTTGTAGCCACATGTGCCCAGACCAGCTCTCCTTCCCTACCAATACTGGTGTGGAAGACTTGTCAGGGAGTTGATTGCATCTTTCCTTGTAATTATGTCTTGAGACCAGGGGTAGTGGCTCACCTGTAATCCCACCACTTTGGGAGGCTGAGGCAGGTGGATTGCTTGAGCCTAAGAGTTTGAGACCAGCCTGAGCAACATGGCAAATCTCTGTCTGTACAAAAAAATACAAAAATTAGCCAGGCATGTTGGTGCATACCTGTAGTCCCAGCTATTCAGGAGGTGAGAGGATCACCTGAGCTAGGAAAGTCAAAGCTGCAGTGAGCTGTGGTTGTGCCACTGCACTCCAGCCTGGGAAATGGGAGTGAGACCCTGTCTCGAAAAAAAAGAAAGAAAGAGAAAGAGAGAGAGAGAGAGCAGGTTGTAATTACATCTTGAGCATGATTTTGAGTAAAGTCTGTCATTGTCTGTGGATATGGAGCTTCTTTAAACGTGCTAATGGAGGTCATTGGTTTTTACTCTTTACCTCTGAATTGATATTGCTGGTTCTGAGCTTCATTTATTCTTTTTCAACACCTTTGTTATATTTAGCAACCAATCAACTCTGTAAGTTTTATGAATTAATGTTCACCGATAAATCTGAAATTATACAGATATGGCATTAAACCAGGCTCCCCATTCCCCCATATACCATATCAGTTCATCTCAGGTGAAGGCTTCAAATGAATCATGACTTACTCTGAACTCCTGTACAGTAAGCATGCCATTTGGCTAGCAAATTAGCAAATTCCAAAATCTCATCTTAAGTATCTGCTTCCTAGGACCACTTCTGATTCTTGCATTATCAGTAAATCTGTCTGAAACATATTCCAAAGGCAAGTACTCCTCACCTATTCTAAACCACAATCATTTTTCCCCTAGATTATGTAAATAGTATCTTACTTTTTGACCTGTGCTACCCCTCTTACAGTCAATTTCTGCACTACAGCAAGAGTGATATTTTAAAAATGCAAATTAGATGACACCATTTTGCCACTCAGACATTTCAGTGGATGCTCATTGTGTTAGAACAGAATCCAAACTCCTTTTTCATAGCCTTCATATCTCCACATGACTTGGCTCCTCCTGCTCTCTCCAACATCATTTGCATCACTCCACTCCAGCCACACTGGGCTTCTTGCTGTTCTTGAACACAGCTACGCTTACCAAACCTTCAAATGGATTTTGTACTTGTTGTTACCTCTGCCTGGAGCACTCTTTCTCTAACTCTCTGTGTGATTCACTCTTTCATTCAAAAAGACATCTTTTGCAAGGATGACTTCACTGAGTACCCCATTTCAATAGCACTCTCCCTGTCCTCCAGAAACAAGTATACCCCCTTTCCCTTTACCAACATTAAATTTTCTTTACAGCATTTTTGACTGCCTGCAAATATAGCATATTCCTATTTAGGTTGTCTGCATTCAAATTCTAGCTGCATCACTTAGTAACTATTGACTTGGGCAAATGATCTAATCCATATGAAACTCAGTTTCCTTAGCTATGAAATGGAGAGAGTAGTCCTAATTAATAGGATTCCCTAAAACTTAAAAGAGAGAATTTACCATCACCCAAGACGTTACAAAAATGTCTGGCAATATTTCATCCATGGGAAATTGTTATAGAAAGCTGCTTCGTGCCATCAGAGCCTCCCCAGTTTGACATTCAACTTGAGAATGATTCTTCAGTCATCCCTGAATCTAAGTCATTATGCCATTATATAGAAAACATTTTTTTTCTATCTTAATTACTAAAAATAATCTCAAGAATGTTACTAATATCAAATAATCTCAAGAATGTTACTAACATCAAGAGGTACTGTATCTATTGTCATTTCCTGTATTTACAAATATTGTAAACTAATGGGAAAAATGTAATCATTTTGTCATGACTTTTATTTAATACAAGTAATGTGAAAGTCACCGTTGGGATTCCAAACTTCCTGACAGTGTGAAAACTAAAGTTTAAGAGTTCTGGATGCTGTTGAATGTCATTTCCTTTTTGAACCCACAATATTGGATTTAAGTACCTATATTTATGTGCTCTCATAGTTCACTTTACTTTTTCATAATGTCCATTAAAATATGAAGTTGTTTATTTTCGTAACTTAATATTTTGGTTGACATTTGTCTTTCCCATTAGAATGTAATTTTCAGGAGGCCGGGTTAAAAGTCCTGCTGTATGCTCTTATTATGCAATGCATATTTACTTTATTACTTAGGTTTATCACTGTAATAATTTTTAAAAGGCAATTATTTTTTAATATCTACTTTTTCACCTTGGTTCAAGTGACATAAGATCAAAGAACACATTACTCTTGTCCTTAGTTAGAGCCCCAGCCCTGAAAATGTTGTTCAGCTTAAAGTCAACAATAAATGTGGGTGAATAAATGAATGAATTGATGGATGAAAACATGTATGGTTAAGTCAAATCAAACTTATAGCATAATTATTTTGTAATGTTATGAATTGATGTATTTGGGGAAAATAATACTATTTTTTAAATTTAGTTAACATTTACTGAGAGGCAAATTCAGT
Source organism: Homo sapiens (assembly GCF_000001405.40). Taxonomy (NCBI): domain Eukaryota; kingdom Metazoa; phylum Chordata; class Mammalia; order Primates; family Hominidae; genus Homo; species Homo sapiens. The sequence goes on along the minus strand of NC_000010.11, from coordinate 54,041,213 downwards.
GCTACACTAAAGCATTAATGTGAACAAGGCACATTTTGTGCCCATTAGAACTTGCCACATGCTATCTAACTGGTATGTGGCACTGCATTGGCATCTGCATTCAACATCCAACTTTCTTGCTTTCTTTCTTCTTTCTTAATTTAGTGTGTTAAGCCAGACTCTTCAATTTCAAACAATGTTTAATATTAAGCATATACGTCTACTTCAGGACTTCTTTAAATAGATTTTTTTCCTATTTCAATTCATGTGAGATCCAAAAGGGCCTATTTAAAAGTTACCTGCAACCACATAATATTGATGAAGTTTTAGAGTAAATAATTGCATCCAAATCTTCGTATATTGGCATGCTCATCATTTATGAAGCTTGCCATTACATTTAGACACACATATATGCTAAGCTTGGGAAATTGACATTTTTATAGAGAATTCAAAAAATCACATTTGTAGTGTGACACTCTAGTGGTAATGTTTTTTCATCATGTCTCTGAAATGTATGGTGCACACTGACAGGCCATGCTTTTGTAAAATATTCCTAAACAAGTACCCTTTATTATATATATCTCCATACATACATAATTGTGTCTAACTGGCATGTGGCAGTACATTAGCATCTGCATTCAACATCCAACTTCATTCACAGAACACATTTAGTAACTGAATATAGATGTATTAGCCCATTTTCACGCTGCTGATAAAGACATACCTGAGACAGGGTAATTTATAAAGAAAAAATAGGTTTATTGAACTCACAGTTCCACATGGCTGGGGAGGCCTCACAATCATGGCAGAAAGTAAAAGGCACGTCTTACATGGCAGCAGGCAAGAGAGAATGAGAGCCAAGCAAAGGGGAAACCTCTTATAAAACCATCAGACCAGACCTCATGAGACTTATTCACTACCAAGAGAACAGTATGGAGGAAACCGCCCCCATGATTCAGTTATCTCCCACCAGGTCCCACCCACAACACATGGGAATTAGGGGAGCTACAATTCAAGATGAGATTTGGGTGAGAACACAGCCAAACCATCTCAATAGCAAAGATGGCATCATTTGTCATATTTTAGTTTTACATTTTAAAGAACTAATTATGACTTTTTAAGAGTAATTAAGTAAACAGTATTAGGAAACATAGTGTATGTTTTGTATAGTGCATGATTTGCATGACTAAATAACAAAATAACTCATTAATAAATGAGTGCAATGGATATATATGTTGTCCTTTTCTTCCCCCACCCACTGCCCTCACATAGAATCTTGGGATGTGAAGAGATTGTAGGAAAACAGACATAGTAGGAAGCAATTATATTTTCTTTCTCATTTCTCTTTATTTTGTAATGATAAATTCTTCAGCAGGTTTGAAAACTGATGGCAATAGATGGAGTAAAGAGGGATGTAGAAATGCCAGAAAGAGAGGCAACAGAGTCCCAAAAGCTCAAGTGTCATATGTTCCCTTGAGAACCTAGGAGGAAGTGGAGTTTTCCTCAATTTTAGCAGCAGGAGAATGATAAAGATAAGTACAGATGTTGGATGGTTTATAGATTTATTTTGAAATGAATATTTCAATGTTTCAAAATAATTAGTGGAATTCACAGCTCTGGGCACACTATATACTGTAATTCTCATGACTTCATGGTATGACTTCCATGACTTATCTGAAGTATGTTTTTCCTTCTGTTAGATATCATGTCAGACTAGCTTGCCACAGAGTAAGGGAGACATTGAGGGAACCCACTGACAATTCTCTGTAACTTAGATTTTTATTTTTCTAATGAAATATATGTAAAGTCTGAGGGGCTATGTAATGATAACCTTCAAGTGTGTATTTGTGTGATATGGCCCTTAATCCCCATCATGAAAATAATTCAGAGTGAATTCTAAATTATGTCCAGCTCATCTTTCTATCTCTGGACTCCAATCTATCATGCAGCTAGAATAATTAATAATGCTACACTAGTTATAGCAGCATCCCCTACCTGCACAAAAATTACAAACAGATGGCACATTCATACTCTAAATTCAAATCCAAATACTCTTATTTGCTAGCTAAAGGAAAATGAACTTATTTTTTGTTTTTCTGAAATATTCTTGGCTGTAAAATATGGACAATAATAACTGCCATACTGGGTGTTTATAAGAACTAAAAGAAAAAACCTAAAGTTCATCATATTTAAGACTTCTGTTTCTACTTGGGAAACAAATTCAACAGGAAAATATGAGTTACGTCTCTGGGCACAGGGGTGGAAAATGACAAATATTAGTTTGGATCAAAAAAATCAAACCCTAGACTTTTTCACCTTTGAGGTAATAATGTAGCTGGCTGTTTCATTTGAAAACAATGAATGATATTGTAATAATTTAATATATGTGTGTATGTGTATAAAATTTGCTATATTCTGTTAAGCAAGGATTTTATACTCTAAGAAAAAAACCAATCCAAGATAGAGGCTTGTTATGAAGACTGTGTGCCAAGCAGATCTCCCTTGAAGGTAGAGCTGAATGTCTTGGCTTTTTGGAGTGATGTAGGGATGAAGGAGTAAAGAGGGATGTACAGCTGCTAGCCACTTCAGAGATGACCTTATCTACAGAAGGTTCCCTTGCCCATAGTCACACCCATTTCAGTGTAGCCCATATCCTGACTGATGCCTGAGTGTAAAATGCTGGACATTTTACCCCAGCTCAGAAAAACTGTGACATGCAATTGCAATTCTGCAGCTCCTTCCTTGGGTTGGCCAAGGCTGTAGTTGACCCTGCACAGTAGTTTGACTTTCTCCCTGAATCCAATTCTGGTCTTGTCCTTTGCCCTCCAAAAATGTTGACCCCCAAAGCATACCCCAACAAAACTCTTGCAACTAATCTCTGCCTCATTGTCTGCTTGCCAGAGAACCCACCTGCAAACACCTTTATACAGTATAGCTTTTTCTTCAAGTCATACAAGAATCAAAGTGAGAGGCTCTTTTTTAAAAAATCTAAGTGCAGTCTGCAAAATAAATAAATCAGACAGTATTTCTTTGGCTTGCTTTCCCACTATTTAGTTTATGATATCTCAGAAGAATTAGTTCATTGGGATTTCTGAAACCAAGCTCTGGAAATATTCCCTATGTGTGTCATAATTCAAAACGTGGATATATAGCAAATACAGCCTCTTTTTCACTGTCTTATTCCTTCTATGTGAACATTTTTATGAGGAGATCCTCTGAGCCCAGTCTTTTCTAATGGTTTTATGACTTCTCAGTATCATACTCATCCAACTCTGCACAGACAGATTTCTGTCAAAAGCAATCAGTCTTTATGAAAGTAGCAGGAGTAATGTTTCCTCTGGGCAAACCAAATCAAAGTGGTTCACACTTGTCATGTTAGACGTAACTTCAGTCTCCATTTAGACTCCTCAGACTTTAAGTTTGAAATAAGTCAATAACTTCTTTCTTTATTATCTGCAAAGATTCTTGGTAGATAGGTTGTAGAGTTTCTGTTTCTCAAAGCAATACACATTTTTAATACAAGCATATTTCAGACATATTGAGAGTTCTCTTCCAGACCACAGTAATACAGCAAATGTTGCAACAAAGCGAGTCACATAAGGTTTTAGGTTTCCCAGTGCATATAAATATTATTTTTACACTATACTATACTCCATTAAGTATACTCCATACTGCAATTAGCATTGTGTCTGAAAAACAGTGTCCATACCTTAATTAAAGTGTTTTATGGCTTAAAAAAATACTGTCAATCATCTGAACCTTCAGCAAGTCTTAATCTTTATACAGATAGAGGGTCTTGTCTCACTGTCGGTGGCTGCTCACTGATTAGGAGGGTGGTTGCTGAAGTTGGGATGGCTGTGTCAGTTTCTTAAAATAAGACAACAATGAATTGTGCTGCATTGAATACTTCTTGCTTTCATTAAATTTTTTTCTGTAGCTAGTGATGCTGTTTGATAGCATTGTAGCTAAATAAGTTTTTTTCAGAATTGGAGTCAATCTTCTTAATCCTTGCTGCAAAGTATATAAAATATTCTAAATTATCTGTTGCTATTTCAACAATGTTCACAGCATCTTCATTAGGAGTAGGTATCATATCAAGAAACCACTTTCTTTGCTCTTCCATAAAAAGCAACTCCTCAACTGTTCAAGTTTATCATAAGATTACAGCAATTCACTCACATCTTCAGGCTCCACCTCTAATTCTAGTTCTCACCATGTCTATCACATCTGCAATTCCTTCATCCAACTGAAGTCTTAAACCTCTCTTGAACCTCTCAGAGTCATTCATGAAGGAAGAAATCAACTTCTTCCAAGCTTCTATTAATGTTGATATTTTTACCTCCTTCCATGAATCAAAAATGTTGCTATTGGCATCTAGAATGGTGAATCATTTCCATAAGATTTTTAGTTCACTTTGCGCAGATCCATCAGAGGAATAACTATCAATGACAGCTATAATCTTATGAAATTTATTTCTTATATAATAAGATGAAAACCTCAAATTTACTCCTTTATCCATGAGCTGCAGAGTGGAAGTTGTGTTAACAGGCAAGAAAACAACACTGATGTCCTTTTACATCTCCATCAGAACTCTTGAGTGACCAGGTGCATTCTCAATGAGCAGTAATGTTTAGAAAGAAGTCTTTTTTTTTTCCTGAGCAGTAGGACTCAACCATGGGCTTAAAATACTTGCTAAACTATGCTGTAAACATAGTTTATGCTTCCATAAATATATGCTTTTATTAGGCATTGTTATTCCATTTATTGATCACAGACAGAGTAAATTTAACAGAATTCTTAAGTGCACTAGGATTTTCAGAATGGTCAATAAATATTGGCTTCAACTTAAAGTCACCAGCTCTTAGCACCTAACAAGAAAGTCAGCCCATCCTTTGAAACCTTGAATCTAGGCATTGACCTCTCTGTTTTAAGTTACGGAAGTTCTAGATGGCATATTCTAATAGAAAACTGTTTTATCTACATTGGAAATCTGTTTTTTTAGCGTAGCCACCCTCTACAAATATCTTAGCTGGATTTTCTGGATAACTAGCTGCAACACCTTCTGCATCTGCACTTGCTGCTTCACCTTGCACTTTTATGTTATGGAGATGGCTTTTTATTTTTCCCTTAAATTTCATGAACCCACCTCTACTAGCTTCAGACTTTTCTTCTGCAGCTTCCTTCCCTCTCTCAAGCTCCAGAGAAAGGAAGAGAGTTAAGGTCTTGCTCCAGATTAGGCTTTGGCTTACGGGAATGTTGTGGCTAGTTTGATCTTCTATCCAGACCACTCAAACTTTCTTCACATCAGCTTCACATCAGGTTGTTTTACTTTCCTATGATTTGTGTTTGCACTGGAGTAGAACTTTTAATTTATGAAATATCTTTTCCATTGCGTTCACAATGTGGCTAACTGGCACAAGAGGCCAAGTTTTTAAGCTTTCTCAGCTTTTGACCTACCTTTCTCACTAAGCTTAATCATTTCTAGCTTTTAATTTCAAATCAGAGACACACAACTCTTTCACTTAAACACTTAGAGCCCATACATAGTGGGGTTATTAATTGGCCTAATTTTAATTTCACTGTGTCTCAGAGAATAGGAAGGCTCAAGGAAAGTGAGAAAGATGGGGGAATGGTCAGTGGGTGGAGAAATCAGAACACATACACCATCTCATCTTGGACCATGTGTCAAAAAAATGTATACATAGAACCTTTATTAATTAAATTTGCTCTCATATGGTGTGTTCTGCGGCACCCCAACACAACCACAATAGTAACTTAAAAGATCACTAATCATAGATCACCATAACAGATCCAGTAGTAATTTAAAAGTTTGTCATATTCTGAGAATTACCAAAATGTGCCTCAGAGACATGAAATGAGCACACGCTGTTGGAAAAATGGTGCCAATATATTTGCTTAAGGCATCTTTGTCAGAAGCCTTCAATTTGTAAAAAATGCAACGTCCGTGAAGCACAATAAAGCCACGTGCAATGAAACAGAGTGTGCCTGTAAACTTACCACTTCTATTTTATCTCAGATTCCAGTTCTAGTATACAGTATCATTTAATTCTACTGACTAGACTGCTCCTGTGGAACAGTTACACTCCATAAATAACATGTCATTGAAAACATTCTGTTATTCTCAGGAAAATTTCTGCTTGGCCAATTGATATTGAAATATTCCTCTTATTGCCTACATGCTAACAATTAACAAAGGAATGGCATCCAAATGAAGTTTCCTACACTTTTTAATCTCCAATCTGGCTTATTTTACCTTTACCAGAAAGAAAAAAGGATGTTAATAAAGTACCTGGCCCTTTTATATATCTGTAACTTCTAAAAATGTGTGTATATAATTAATATTAAGGTAAGCAGCAGTACTGTTTACACCACAATTAAAGAAAACAAACTGACAGCACTTTTCATAAAGCCTGCTGCTGAGGAATGATTCTAAAATAGTTACCTACTATTTACATAGTAGCACACAGGAAGGTACTAGGAAAGTATATCTGAAGGAAGGCAGCTGGAAAAGGAAGGACACAGCAGAATCTGAGTTCATAACTTCTAATTCAAAAGGCAGTTTCACATTGTGTACATCTTAGCTCTTTGAATGCAGTCCCAGGGAGTAGATAGAGAAACATAAGTTGTTTCTTCCAATTAATTCTGTTTTCCTAATTTAAATTACTGTGTTGGACAAGACATTAGAAAACATGATCCTCAGTTACTTCAGTGAATTGTTGTCAGCAAAATGAATACCTAACATACATTTTTAAATCAACCAATTTGGAGACATCCCAAATTAAGGTAATGAAACAGCTGAAAATTACTAAACTAGCTCAAGGAATGAGTGATGATAAAATAAAACTGGAACCTATATCTGGCTCTATCCCTGTGATGTTATCAAGGTAGGTCAAATTGTGACAATGTGTGTAAAATAGAGAAAAACACCTTTAATTTTATGGGTATTGTTTGGGAAAAACGTGAGCTTATATTCAGCAAATGAAATGATTGATAGTATTGGGAAATTAAGAGATATTTTTCTCTCATTAAATAGTTATTATATTAGCCAGAGGCATTTTTATTGCTCTTGTTTTACTTACAATTCTGTTAATCCTTTACTTGAATGTTATCCAGAAAATTTAATTGTATAGAATTTCACAGAGAATCCAATCTGGCTGTCACATTCTTTTCAGTTTCCAGTTAAGAATTTTTTTTCTAGAAATGATACAAGAAAATGATTTGTGAGACAATGTAATATAATGAAAAGCCCTGTGACAGAAGGACAATGCTTAAGGTATACATTACTCTTGACTCTTCAGAGAAGGGCATGGGCATGTTTATATTGAACCCAACAGAATACTAGAAAAAAGAAAATTAAAACTTGGATTAGTATATAGGACCTATAAAAACACCTGATAAGCAAAATGTCACATATTCAATAAGCATAGAGAAGACTATTTAAAATAGTTATTCAGAAAACAAACCACAATACTTTGTGTTATAACTTGGCAGAAAATGTAAGCATAATCAAATAAATAGGAAGGCCTGGGCTAAGCAGATTATCACATAAAATGCAATTCATGGAGATGGTATTTTTCCCTTATTTCATTACTTAAGAAGTGATGAGTATTGAGTACAAGCTCAGAGATACCCTGAGTTGCCCCATATAGTAATATGGACAGACATTTTAGAAAGTGATGCCACTGTAATGAGTGCTGAAAGAACAATGCTTATGTGGAAATGTTTATGGTATATAAGGAAGTTACAGAGGACTCTCTTTTGGCTAGAGCATGCATTCTCAACGGTGGTAGATCATTTCCAATGTGGAAAATCAGGTTTTGGGAGACAAGAAAACCTTACTTTTCTTATGTATAAAGCATGGATAATATATATACATAAATATATCTGTGGAAGTACAAATTTATAAGGGTTCTATTAGAAAGAAAAAAATCTTAAAATCCTCTTTTGACAGGAGTTGATAATGAAAAAGGTTAAGCAATGCTAGAATAGACTGTTAAAAGTTAAACTAATATATTTAATTATACAAAAATAGGTATATATATTGTACTTACTTTAAAACTGACCTAGAAATAGATTTCCTTAAAGAATTCTAGGTGACTGATATGGTTTGGCTGTGTGTACCAACCCAAATCTCATCTCGATTTGTAATCCCCATGTGTTGAGGGAGGGACCTATAATCCCCACTTGTCCAAGGAGCGGGGTGACTGGATCATGGGGGAGGCTTCCCCCATGCTCTTCTTATGACAGTGAGTGAGTTCTTACTAGATCTGATGGTTTTATAAGTGATTGGGAGTTCCTTCTTCACTCTTTTCTGTCACCAGGTAAAGAAGTTGCCTGCTTCCCCTTCACCATCCACCATGATTGTAAGTTTCCTGAGACCTCCCCAGCCATGTGAAACTGAGTCAATTAAACCTCTTTCATTTATAAATCCCCCAGTTTCTGGGAAGTTATTTATAGCATTGTGAAAACTGACTAATATAGTGACAAAATTGAAAACAAGAAAGCAATAAAATGTAACAAAAGGACAAAGTTTAATAAGTAGTTATGTGATCACTTAAGTTTTATTTAAAGAACAAAATGTGTCTTATTTTCTTATATTTCTTCTAATAAACAGAAAACATACCTTCTTTTAAGACAAAATTATAAATACTAATTGGCAATTTTTATTTCTTCATGTGTTTGGGTGGTTGGGGTGGGAATGATATGTAATTGAAAAATGGAAATAGCTTCAGAAGAAATTTTGGCAGAAATTATTGCATATCTAACCTATGTCATTGCAAAAAGAAAAATAAAGCAGGCATTGTATGATATAAATAAGCCATCCTGTCCTTATGAATTCTTAATTTCATGTGGGCTATTAAAAAATGACAGAAAAAAAGCAATAGGGCATGTGGTAAAGAAACATACAATGAGCTTCAGGAGCATGAAGATGAGGCATTTAGCTTACTCAGATGCTTCTGAGAGGTGATACTAGGGCTGAAGAATAATCAGTTTTGGAAATAAGGGGAAGATTTTATGACTGGATAAAGCAGACATGAAATAGCATGGTTAGTATGGCAAAATGCACTTAGATTTAGTGGTAAGAATATGTTCGCCCACAGAGAAAAAGATGAGAATGAAGAAGTTGGAGAAATAGAAGTAAGAAGAGGTTGGAAAACTAAATATAATTTAATATATAATTTTTTTTACCATCACATAAAGAGGTATATACACACTCAACCTATACTGCATAATTATCAAATACTAAGCAATGGTGGGGAAATATGAAATGAGTCCTCCCAGGTTTTCCTCTTCGTTTTCAGCACTATAAGGAATATTTGAAAAAGGGAAAAGACAGCCTTACTATGTAAATACATTTAATGAACATGAAACAACATTACTTTCTTTCTTTGCTGTATGAGCGTGAACATGACAACAACTCTTTTCCTGAAGCATTGATGTCATAATCTTCAAGTGTTTACCATTAACATGAGAACTGAATATGTAAAGGTTTTTAGTGCAAAGTTTCTTCCTAATGCTTACTTAGTAAGAGGCCTGCAGGTTATGTTGGAACAGCTTAAACTGTCTTATTTAATTTGACACCTTCAGTTCATTTGCGTTAAATAACACCCAACTACAGGAATATTGTTTATTTTTATTTGCTTGCTATCTTTTTTTTTTCCTTCTCTACCATATTTCCATCTGTGCTCCAACTTTCCACTTCTCATACATTGTACACTCCACAAAACAATTTACAGATTCTTTTCTCTAACAGTGTCTCCTATTACATAATACATGGATACACCACAGATTTTTAGGCCAATTATTTAATTGCGTAGCATACTTAAATAGCAATAAAAAGTGAGTTTTGCTATGTGCAAGAGGGACCAGAAGGCTGGATGGAAAGAAGAGGTTTCCCAGATGAAGTAGAACTGAAGCTAGGTTTTGAACGTTTAAGTTGGATTGGGGGAAAATAAAAACAAACAAAAAAAAAACCTATATCAGGGAAGGTGAGGGAGAGCATGGTCATTTCAAGGAAAACCAGGGTAGTACATTGTAAAAGTGTTTCTGATTTATCACTGTCCCACTGTGTGAGGGAATGGAATTTCTGCACCCCTTGACATCGGCCTTGTCATGTGATTTGCCTTCAACGATGAAGCAGGAGTATAGGTGATACGTTGACCTCCAAGCAGAAGCGTTAAAAGCTGCAGCTTGGCTATCTCATGTCTTTTTTTCTTCTTGCACCACATGAGCTTCATATTCCAATGAAGCCTGCTCCTTTAGCTTCTCTTCTGAGTAAAGACAAGATAGAGTAAAGCTGGATTTGGAATTCACAGTGGGTGCTGTATAGGCGAGAAAGAAACATCAGTGGTAACAAACCACTGACACTTGAGAGTTTCTTGGTGGTGATTCATACCATAAATAGACTCCTTTGACTAAAACACAGAGTTTGTGTCAGAGAGTTAGTCTGAGGGATATAAATGCATAAAGATAGGTTAGAACAAGACCAGGTAGAGCCTTGAATGCTAGGATAAAATGTAGTTTATTGTGTATCTTAGAATAATAGCTGACCCCTTGAGAAATTATTTGTGTTAAATATGTGTTTTCTAGGGACTAGATTTCTAGGGACTAGAATGAAAAGCTATTCATTCTGGTTATGTTTTTAGTGATTTTAATTCAAGTTATGCAAGTTATCTTCTGGCCAGTAAGTCTACTTGCCATTGTTCAATAATGATTATGAGGCATTTGTGTGGAGAGTGAAAAAATTTACCTGCATTATGAGTCTTTAAATTGCTTGTCTCCTTTTACACTAATAATCACAGCCCTTGAAATAGCTCAGCTCCTTAAAAAAAAAAAAAAAAAGACAACTATTGTACATCTTTTTGAAGTTAATAGATAATAATTTTAAAAATGTATTTTCACTAATAATGTCATGAAGGATGCACTGCCCAACCTCCCTGATCAACAGCTTTTATGGTTCCCACTTCAAAGTGAGAAAGATGTACACGACCTCTTAAATCGCTGTAAAGGACAAGCAAAAGGTAGAGCAAAGCACTCTCTCAGCTTCACACTGGGCCAATTAGGTGCTACATGGTAGTTCACACCTTTATAATAGCTATAACATTTTGGTTTTGTCCTCAAGTTATTTCCTTGGGGCTGATTTTTGTCATAAAATTTTCTATCTAAATAATTAATCTGAATGGATATTTGACATATTTTAAATGGAAATGAATCATTGTAAATTACACAAGTAACCTACCCAGGGACTTCTCAGTGGAAGGAGTGCAAACATCAACCTGTTCTTTGAGGTTTTATCCTAGTATATTCCACCCATACAGGCATGCTTTAAGGTCTTCTCTACAGGACTGGTAACCCCCAGGGTAGCAAACCCAGTAATGGACTTCCACTTTTATGGATGGAAAGAATTGTGTAACAGACCATTCTAAGAAGATAATGAGAAAAAAAGGGGTGGGGAATGAATTTAGTGTTTAAGAAATATATTTCCCTTTTCCCTTTTCAAGTGGCATGCTATAAAATCGCTTCTCAAAAATTATACAAAAAACTTTGGTTCAATAAATTCCCTTGACTTTTTTCTTAAGTAATTACTTGGTTGTCTTTCATATACTCTAACTTTGGTGTTAATGAATAAGGTTTGCAAGTGGTGTTTCTGGCAATTATTCAAAGTTCTGTCCAGTGAGGTCTTTATTTGACTACAGGCTATCAGCCAATTTCCCAGCAATATGCATTCACAAATTAGTAGCCACAAATCAGGCCCCATAGTAAGGTGTATATTACAAAAATGTGTTAACCATGGACAGATGATTATAAAGTTGCAGCTATTACTGTTCATTGCTTTGATGTAGTACAAGGGGAAAAGAGATGTGTTATTTTTCTTATTAACAAATTTAATTAACTTTTAATTGATTTCTAGGAAAATATATATTTTCATTATAGCATCATACACTGAGCTGCTTGACTAAATATTAAACATCAATGCAAAGTTCTTGACAGTACTGCTGATAATAAGGGATTCTATGTTTGGTTATCTTGTTTAACATCTACATGTTCATCTAGAATAGTAAAGAAGTAAAACTGCCTTGCTTAGCCAGCTCATGTTGCTTAACTTACATCACCTTATTTATGCTCCTTAATTTAATGGGGACATAGGAATAGATAAGGAAATAGCTCTGCATTTTATATTCTGTTCCCTTTGTTTCCATTAGATGTGTGTCTCAGTCACCTTAAAATTTTTAGAGTAGCTTTCTGGGGGATATTGTAGTCTTTTTTTTATTATTATTATACTTTAAGTTTTAGGGTACATGTGCACATTGTGCAGGTTAGTTACATATGTATACATGTGCCATGCTGGTGCGCTGCACCCACTAACTCGTCATCTAGCATTAGGTATATCTCCCAATGCTATCCCTCCCCCCTCCCCCCACCCCACAACAGTCCCCAGAGTGTGATATTCCCCTTCCTGTGTCCATGTGATCTCATTGTTCAATTCCCACCTATGAGTGACAATATGCGGTGTTTGGTTTTTTGTTCTTGCGATAGTTTACTGAGAATGATGATTTCCAATTTCATCCATGTCCCTACAAAGGACATGAACTCATCATTTTTTATGGCTGCATAGTATTCCATGGTGTATATGTGCCACATTTTCTTAATCCAGTCTATCATTGTTGGACATTTGGGTTGGTTCCAAGACTTTGCTATCGTGAATAATGCCACAATAAACATATGTGTGCATGTGTCTTTATAGCAGCATGATTTCTAGTCCTTTGGGTATATACCCAGTAATGGGATGGCTGGGTCAAATGGTATTTCCAGTTCTAGATCCCTGAGGAATCGCCACACTGACTTCCACAATGGTTGAACTAGTTTACAGTCCCACCAACAGTGTAAAAGTGTTCCTATTTCTCCACATCCTCTCCAGCACCTGTAGTTTCCTGACTTTTTAATGATTGCCATTCTAACTGGTGTGAGATGGTATCTCATTGTGGTTTTGATTTGCATTTCTCTGATGGCCAGTGATGATGAGCATTTTTTCATGTGTTTTTTGGCTGCATAAATGTCTTCTTTTGAGAAGTGTCTGTTCATGTCCTTCGCCCACTTTTTGATGGGGTTGTTTGTTTTTTTCTTGTAAATTTGAGTTCATTGTAGATTCTGGATATTAGCCCTTTGTCAGATGAGTAGGTTGCAAAAATTTTCTCCCATTGTGTGGGTTGCCTGTTCACTCTGATGGTAGTTTCTTTTGCTGTGCAGAAGCTCTTGAGTTTAATTCGATCCCATTTGTCAATTTTGTCTTTTGTTGCCATTGCTTTTGGTGTTTTAGACATGAAGTCCTTGCCCATGCCTATGTCCTGAATGGTAATGCCTAGGTTTTCTTCTATGGTTTTTATGGTTTTAGGTCTAACGTTTAAGTCTTTAATCCATCTTGAATTGATTTTTGTATAAGGTGTAAGGAAGGGATCCAGTTTCAGCTTTCTCCATATGGCTAGCCAGTTTTCCCAGCACCATTTATTAAATAGGGAATCCTTTCCCCATTGCTTGTTTTTCTCAGGTTTGTCAAAGATCAGATAGTTGTAGATATGCAGCATTATTTCTGAGGGCTCTGTTCTGTTCCATTGATCTATATCTCTGTTTTGGTACCAGTACCATGCTGTTTTGGTTACTGTAGCCTTGTAGTATAGTTTGAAGTCAGGTAGTGTGATGCCTCCAGCTTTGTTCTTTTGGCTTAGGATTGACTTGGCGATGAAGGCTCTATTTTGGTTCCATATGAACTTTAAAGTAGTTTTTTCCAATTCTGTGAAGAAAGGCATTGGTAGCTTGATGGGGATGGCATTGAATCTGTAAATTACTTTGGGCAGTATGGCCATTTTCACGATATTGATTCTTCCTATCCATGAGCATGGAATGTTCTTCCATTTGTTTCTATCCTCTTTTATTTCCTTGAGCAGTGGTTTGTAGTTCTCCTTGAAGAGGTCCTTCACATCCCTTGTAAGTTGGATTCCTAGGTATTTTATCCTCTTTGAAGCAATTGTGAATGGGAGTTCACTCATGATTTGGCTCTCTGTTTGTCTGTTGTTGGTGTATAAGAATGCTTGTGATTTTTGTACATTGATTTTGTATCCTGAGACTTTGCTGAAGTTGCTTATCAGCTTAAGGAGATTTTGGGCTGAGACAATGGGGTTTTCTAGATATACAATCATGTCGTCTGCAAACAGGGACAATTTGACTTCCTCTTTTCCTAATTGAATACCCTTTATTTCCTTCTCCTGCCTAATTGCCCTGGCCAGAACTTCCAACACTATGTTGAATAGGAGTGGTGAGAGAGGGCATCCCTGTCTTGTGCCAGTTTTCAAGGGGAATGCTTCCAGTTTTTGCCCATTCAGTATGATACTGGCTGTGGGTTTGTCATAGATAGCTCTTATTATTTTGAGATAAGTCCCATCAATACCTAATTTATTGAGAGTTTTTAGCATGAAGTGTCGTTGAATTTTGTCAAACGCTTTTTCTGCATCTACTGTCAAGTGGACTTCATCCCTGGGATGCAAAGCTGGTTCAATATACGCAAATCAGTAAATGTAATCCAGCATATAAACAGAGCCAAAGATATTGTAGTCTTTTTTTCCATAAGCATCAAATATACTTCTTGTCATGGTAGCTTTGAATTCAGTGAATTAAGTTGTCATAGATTCAGTCAAAATGTGTGTGTACTTGACATATCGTAATTTATACCAATTTAAACTGATTATTTAAAATTCTGAAACTCTATTGGTGAGGATGCCCCATTTAGCATTTACTGTCAGTCTGCTTAATGAATATCTGCTTGGATATTTTCTCTAAAAACTCCTATCCGGCCAGGTGAGATGGCTCATGCCTGTAATCTCAGCACTTTGAGAAGCCAAAGGGGGAGGATGGCTCAAGCCCAGAAGTTCAAAACTGACCTGGGCAACAAGAGGAAACCCCGTTTCTGATAAAAATACAAAAAATTAGCCAGGCCTGGGGGCATGTGCTTGTAGTGCCAGCTGCGCAGGACGCTGAGGTGGGAGGATTGCTTGAGCCTGGGAGGTGAAGGTTGCAGTGAGCCTAGATCACACCACTGCACACCAGCATGGGTGACAGAGCAAGACCTGTTTCAAAAAAAAAAAAAAATCCCATCCTAAAATATAGATTGCTATATATTTATATATGGCAGTATACACACACTTGCACACATGTGCACACACATATATCAAGGTTAAAAATTCTGAGATGGGGATACTATCCTGGATTGTCCAAGGGAGCATAATGTAATCTTACATGCCCTTAAAAGTGAAGGAGGATGCCTGAAGAGTAGGTCAGAAAGATAAAATGGAAAAAGATGGAGGGAGGGATTCAAAAAATGTGAGGGGCTTGACCACCATTGCTGGCTTTAAAAATGGAAGAAATGGCCAGGCGCAGTGGCTCACGCCTGTAATCCCAGCACTTTGGGAGGCCGAGGCGGGTGGATCACAAGGTCAGGGGTTTGAGACCAGCCTGACCAACATGGTGAAACCCGGTCTCTACTAAAAATGCAAAAATTAGCTGGGCATGGTGACAGGTGCCTGTAATCCCAGCTACTCAGGAGGCTGAGGCAGGAGAATTGCTTGAACCCAGAAGGCGGAGGTTGCAGTGAGCCGAGATCGCACCACTGCACTCCAGCCTGGGCAACAGAGCAAGGCTTGGTCTCAAAAAAAAAAAAAAAAATGGTGGAAATGTGTCATGAACCAAGGGATATGGGGACCTCTAGCAACCGGGATTGGTCCTCACATGACAACCATCAAGGAAGTGGGGATCTCAGTTCTACAAACTCTAGCAACTGAATTCTGTCAACAACTTGAATGAGCAAAGAAGTTGTTTCTCCTTAGAGTCTCCAGAAAGAAACATAGCCCTGGTGAGACCATCTTGAATTTTTGACCTATAGAGCTTTAAAATAATGAACTTGTTTTGTGTCAGCTGCTAAATTTGTGATAATTTGCTATGGGAGCAAAAACAAAACTAATTTAGATATGTTTAGATATGTTTCCTAGTGGATGTATAGTTAAGCAGCTGGACATGTATAAAACACACGGACACACAGCCACATCAGTCAAATTGAGCCATTCTACCATAATAAATATTCAATTATATGGGTCAATAAAAACAACTTGAACAAGAGTCATTTAAATTTCTAATTGCATAAATGATTAGTTTTTTTGATCTTAAGATATTCCATAGACAGAAAAAGTGACTGAAATTTTTAAGGGTATTATTATTATGAAACAAAACATATTTATATTTTGTTCTTGGCTTACAATTTTATCTATTTACTTGATGAGTAATTTCAGACCAAAAAAAGAGATCACCCTCTTTTTTTGGTGAAAAAGGGAGAAGGCAGTGTTGGTTGTTTTCACTAGAATGATCAGCTTGACTGATTTGTCAATAATTCGTAAGACAAATTCTAGGCAAAGTATAAAAGTAAAAGAAACTATATCAACAGAAACTATTCTACTCTGTCACCGTATTTTTTCTCTTCAGGTATTTCTGCAATTCTTCTATCTTTTCTCAGAATTAAACCTCAGAGATGTCAAACTCCCAGGGGCAGTTGTGTTTTGATGAGTCAAAGAGACAAATCCTGCTGAAATGCTTGGCATTATGACATATAGGAGCACTGTTGTAAACATGATTTTCACATCTTAGACATTCTTGTTTCAAAGAAGATGCAAATATTCAGCATCCCCATTCTGCATGCTTTACCATTGCCTGTAAAACTGGATATACCACTGCATATGTGCTGTTAAAATACATCATATTGCATTCCACGCTTTATGGACCTCGAGTGATTTTTGTGTCCCTGGCTCATAAGGCAGCCAAGTGTCTTGTTTTCCTTCCTTTCCTTGTTGACAGTTTGGGGCATAATTATATAATATTTTACAGTTTCTAAGATTTATTTCAGTTTCTTTTACATGGAACTTTTCAAAACAAAATATACAGTAGCTGATAGTGAGATTCATAATTAGTATCACAATTGAGTTTTAGCTAAGATTAATTCTTATTACATTTCATTCGATGAATATTTACTCAATATTTTCTCATTTTATTTGATGCAAAGTGATTTTACATGACTTCAAATTTTCAGTAAATATAGGTATATTATGGTATCAAACATTCTTACTTATGCAGAGATGTATATTCTAATGTTGAAAAAGAGTCCCTTGCACATACATTACAGTTACTGTAGTTTTAATCCTATTTGACTTTTGGAACAGATTTAGTTTCAAATCTGTTTTATTTCATCTAATGTTCATTAATTCCACAAGCATTTGTTAAGTACTTTTATATATGAAGTATTGTGTTAAGAACTGGGACACTGAGATATTTCTTTCTTGTGTAACCTTCCATAAGCCACAGTGTTCTCATTTGTAAAATGAGATTAATAATATTTACTCATAACAACATCATGAGGATTAAGTCAGGTTATACTTATAAATATTATTTATGGTAAATATGATTAATGTTTATTATAATAAACATTATCACATAAATAACAGCATAACATAATAAAATATTATTTATTATAAACAAACATAATGTGTAACATTATTACTAAACATATATAAATATAAAATGAATATATACAGTGAGCAAAAACCTACATAATCTTAAATTGTCACTCGGCAGATTATGTTAAATGAATTACAAACAAAATTTTTTCTCACTTTAGAATTCAAAACCTATTAAAATCATAAGACAAAGATTCAGTATTTTTATGAGTTTTCTGTCATAACATAGTATTGTTATTGCTAATGACATTATCCGTTTTTGTTATGTTAATTTTAAATGAAGAATATTAAAGTATAATATTTTTCATGTTTTAAATTTTGCATTGTATTGTCATTGTCATTTCCTCCTTAGAGGGCCAAATAATTTTTGGTTAGAAAAATACCATAATTTGTTAACTGTTACCTTCATTTACAGTAGCCCGTCAAAACTTACGTGAATTTTTTTGTTTTTTTGTTTTATTTAATAGGCAACAGACCCTGATGCTGGAATAAATGGTCAAGTGCACTACAGTTTGGGTAACTTTAATAATCTTTTTCGTATCACATCCAATGGGAGCATTTACACAGCAGTGAAGCTTAACAGAGAAGTCAGGGACTACTATGAACTTGTTGTTGTGGCAACAGATGGAGCAGTACACCCTCGTCATTCAACTCTAACCTTGGCCATCAAGGTTTTGGACATTGATGATAACAGTCCTGTGTTCACCAATTCAACATACACTGTCCTTGTTGAAGAGAATTTGCCAGCTGGGACTACCATCCTTCAAATAGAGGTGTGTGGGAAAAAGCATTTATTACATGAATCCTACATTAGGAGATTTGCTATTAGGGTTTGTGTGCCAAAATTAGCAAGTAACAATACAACATACCAAGTTGGATTTTAATTTCAGATAAACAATGAATAAATTTTTATTATTTCTCCAATATTGCATATTGTATTTTATGTGGCAAGCCTACTTTAAAGATATCCCAAAAATTAAGGGCAGAAAGATCTATTTGTAAGAAATTAAAAATATACTTTTTAATAGTTTTTTAATTTACAAAAGTAATATTCTGTTTATTCCAACAGTTGACAATACAATAGTTTATGAAGCAAAAGTTAATAATCTCCCACATTGTGCCTCCAGAGTACTCAGCATTAAATTTATTTCACATTTATCTTTGTGTTCACACAAATGTCAAAAAATACATATATATATATGAATTTGTGTGGGTTATACATATATAACATAAATGTGTACACACAGAAAAAATATAGAGAGTTACAAATTGGTTTCCCCTCTATTTTACAAATATTGTTTATACCCATTATTCTGTATTGTTTTCACATTCAATACACAAAAGCCATCTTCTAGTAATCTAACTCTCCTTTTTAATGACATCTCTGTATCAAGCCTCTTTTTTAAGTTTTTAACTATAAATTACACAGTCCTGAACATTTTGATTCAGTAGATTAGGCTGATCCATAAATCTGCATTTTTAAGCAACCACCTCATTTAATACTGACTCAGTTGGTCTATAAGGTATGTTTTGGAAAAAAAAAAAAGTAGCCATTTTTCCACCTGCAGTCCACAACTTGAATGTTTTTAGCATACTTTTCCAGACTCTGTATCCCTTCCATAATTGAACTCAGCAATAAACATTAACAAATCTAAATAAGGCAAATACTGGCCAGGGAGAGAACAATTATTCCTTCATCTATTCCACCATTCATCTGTCAATTAATTAATTAGTTAAGTTATTTATTTAACAAACATGTCTTCAGTATGTATAGTATGCCAAGTCTCCTGCTGGTGTTGTTAAATTCATGCTGTCCTAGGGGATGCAAAGACTTTGGGGATACAAAGGTGAACAAAACAAATTTACTGCTTTCTTCGAGTTTTCAGGCTGGTTTAGCTATCAGTCAAGAAAATTAGTAGTTAAAACGTAGGTCCTCAGTACAAAGGGCCTAGGTAATAGAGGTGGAGCTCCTAACCTAATCTTAAGGCAAAGAGAATATTTGCTAGAGAAACTTATTTCTAAATGGTGAACTGAGGGACAAGTAAGAGCTATCCAAGCAGAAAAGGAAGAAAGATTGTTCAAAGTAGTTGGGGGGAAAAAGCCTGGTCAAAATCATGGAAGATGGGAAAGTGTGAGGGGTGAGGGGCTAAAGGTCTAGAAAATGTAGTGGCTCTTACCATGTTAAGGATAATGGCGTTGATTGAAAATTGAATTAAAAACCAGGGGATTTTAAGCAGGAAAAACCACATAATAAAATGTATGCTTTAATAGCATCTTTCTGATTGTTAAGTCAATAATTGATTGGAGGAGACCAAGGCTGAGGTTCACCATAGGAGGTGTTTGCATTTAAAAATGCACATTATAGCATACTCTGGATCTTCCCCATTTTCATTCTTGCTCCATTCGGTTTTCTGTACCTGAGGTGCATTTGCCAGTCTGTACTGCTGAGTGAAATAGCCATTCTACAAGACTCCCATGAAAACCCATCCTTTCAGCTAAAGGATATCGTTCCCAATTTAGAACATCTTTTAGATAGCATGTCACATTTTTTTCCTTTCTATTTTAGTATTTGTGTCTTGTTTCTTCTCTGAGACCATAACCTGTAGGGCAGTAATTGTGTCTGGATTCATTTTGGTGCTCTCTACAGCACCTTGTGCGTAACTACTACTCAAATCCTAGTTAAATCAAAGGAAGTATGGTAGAGTGATCTCTAGAAATGTATTATAGGATCCCTGTGACAAATAATTACTACTTATATTTTCTCAGTTTTCTTATAGTACTTTAGCCATCTATTATGTTTATGGAAATCACTCAGTATTTATTTTTATTTAAAATATTTGTTCATGATTATCAAATCAGTAGAAAATAAGAAACAGTCATTTAAGACAATATTTATTTTTTTACTGTGATATAGTTCATTTAGTGATTTTTCAAGTTAAACAGATACAGTAATAACGTCAACAATGACAAAATCTTATAGAAAGATCCCTCTCTCTCTCTCTCTGACTCTCCCTCTCACTGTCTCCCTCCTTTCCTCCCTGCCTCCATCTTTCTCTCCCCCATCCCTCCTTCTCTTCCCTGGTAAATTATTAAATAATGTGCTTTTTTAAAAAACAAAAACAAAAAACGTGTCTTTTTGTCCTCGTTAAATTGATGCTGTCCTAGGCACTAACGCATGACTTCCATCCTTCCTGCATTTCTTTATTTTGGTAACGTCACTAATAAAACTATTCTTCTGCTTATTACAGGCCAAAGATGTCGACCTTGGAGCAAATGTGTCTTACCGGATAAGAAGCCCAGAAGTGAAGCACTTTTTTGCACTACATCCATTTACAGGAGAACTATCGCTTTTAAGGAGTTTAGATTATGAGGCATTTCCAGACCAAGAAGCAAGTATCACTTTTCTGGTAGAGGCCTTTGATATTTATGGAACAATGCCACCTGGTATTGCTACTGTCACAGTGATTGTAAAGGTAAGGGCTAGAGATGACTTCTGGTTGCCTGCTTTGCTCTCTCTACATGTAGGTTTTGTTCCTTCTATTATACCTATAATATGTTTTGATAACAATTCCTAATGACACAGTGGTACCAGACCCATAACATAGATTTTCCAATGGAAATATTTATGAATACATAAGAAATAACTATATTTTTGACTATAAAAGATAAATTTGAAAGAGGCAGTAAATATGTGTACAAAGACCATGGAAATTTGAGTCTGCATCAGCTCTGTGACTTCCATCAAGTCCTAACCTCTCTAGACTAGATTTTAGTTCAAATTCCACAGCATCAGGCATAATTATTTGGTACAAATCCTTCAACTAAAAAAATTTTATATATGACTCTGAAGGGCCAAGAGTTCTTAGGCCCTAAAATTAATTTAGGGCCCAAACCTCTGGAATGAAATAAGCTTCCAAGTTAGATGGAATTGAGGTTAAATTCTGGCTCAACCCTTTTTAAGCTCTATGACCTTGGGGACTTTGTTAACCTCTCTGGATTTGTTATCCCATTTATTATAATACCATGTGCCAGATGATTGCCTGAAAGAGCATGGCATTTTTAACTTTTTGAATTTCTAGTGATTTTTAAGAGACAAAAGTAGATATGAGAAGAAGTACTGTAAGTTGATCAGTTCTCAAATAGTAGTACATACCGTGATCCTCTGAGCGTCATCTTAAACTTTCAGATTTCTCTACTCCTTCCCCAAAGAAGGACCTGTCCCATGGGGACCATCATAAACATCAGCATTTGAGAAAAGTACACAGATGTTTCTTATACAAGACATCTGAATCCCATATTGAGAAATTTACTTCAATTACAAAGATACATATACAAAAATCCTCAAGTTACTTTACTAAATGAGTATATTACTAAAAAATGACTTTACATGACAATAATTTCTTAGGCAATATAAAGTAAAAGTTCATTCACTATCATGGTACATTGTAAAAATTTTTGTTTTGGTAAGGGAAGAAAATAGAAACTTAAAAAAGTCTTATTTAAAGTGTTTTTTTCTGCTTCCTGAATAGACTTGGAATGATGAAAAAGGGCTGGTCAGAAAGGAATAGAGATACCTGCACAGAGCAAGGGCAGTGGAGGGAGGAAAAAGACAGAAGATCTATAAGATAAATGAAGCACTTGCAAAGAAGCCTATAGAGTATATCAATGACCATGAATAAAATAGATGAATATGAGTAATTAGTTGAATAAACAATTTAACTTTAGTATACATGTTTTGATTTATATTTTATTCACAGTTGTATCTATGTTCTACCCCCAAAAATATAATTGATAATTATGGCTCAGATTTTACCAAGTGACTATAGATATCAAGTTTCTATGTTAAAAAACAATGAAATCTATGGGCTTAGATAGAAAAATGTGGAAAGATGTGGACATTTTTAATAAATGTTTAGTTGCAGGATCATACCATAGGATTGGAATGAAATATTGGCAACCACATATTGTCTACTACATGGTGATACTATTCATGCTTCATATAGTCGCTAAAATGTGTAAGAGCTGAGTGGGATCAAAGTTACATGACTTACCAACTTTGTTAGGTTATCTAATCCTGGAGATCATGCAGATAACTCTAGGCATCTATGTTCACTTAATCTTTGCCAGTATTATATTTTCAGGTTGTATTTTGTTCCCATGAATGCCTTTTCATTTGTTCTTTTGAAGTGATTATAGTTAAAGTCCATTATGTGTTTAAGGTGAATTGTTTAGCAGAATTTACCTATGATAATTACTGACAATTCCATATCATTTGGATTCTGTTGGTTACCTGAAGACTGTGGGAAAGTGCAGATACATTTATTCCTAAAAATAAAAGTTCCTGAGGATTACTCCCTTTTTCTTTATTTTTATTTTTATTTTGTTTAGTGGCCAGTACTACAATAGCAAAGCTATTATGTGAGATCATTCAGATTCTGCATGTGCAACACAAATGTCTCTGAGGGACCTTAGTAGAAGACTATATGTATCCAGGGTCCTAAGGAAAAGAAGGTCATAGGCAACTTTTCTACAATTCTCATATTATAGGGACTACAAATAAGATTTTCTTTTATTTGAAATGATGGAAGAAGAAATCATCACTTTTCTTAGGTTGCAGTATGATTGTTATCCTGCTAAATAGCTAGCCATATGCTAGTGGTTTTCTTAGACAACAAAGTAATGATGTGAAAAAAGATTTCACCAATACATAATTAGTATAACTGTATTTTTCCAGTAGGTTAATGTTCTTGACCATAAAATTTTGGGGTATGGATTTTATTTTTTTAAGATAATTCTTCAGTCACAGTGAAACACGGAAGTATTCCACTACCTTTTCTTTTTTTAGTGTCTTATTTTACATTTTCATATTTTATTTTAGATTCAGGCATTACATGTTCACATTTGTTACATAAGTGTATTGCATGATGCTGAGGTTTGGGATATGAATGACCTTGTCAACTAGATAGTGAATATAGTACCCAATAATTAGTTTCTCAACCCCCGCTTCTTCACTTCCTACCCCACCCAATTTCTGTCTATTAATTTTCAGTGGCTATTTTTATGTCCAGGAGTACCCAATATTTAGTTACCATTTAGAGGTGAGAACATGCAGTATTTGGTTTTATGCTCCTGAATTAATTTGTTTAGGATAATGGCCTCAAGCTGTTATCTATGTTACTGCAAAGGACATGGTTTTATTCTTTTTTATGGCTGCATAGTGTTCCATGGTGTATATGTACCCCCTTGTATTTATCTAATTCACTGTTGATGAGCATCTAGGTCGATTCCATGTCTTTGTTATTGTAACTCATAAAACTTTGATAAATACATATTATATCTTGGCTGGGCATGGTGGCTCATGCTTGTAATCCCTACACTTTGGGAGACCAAGGTGGGTGGATCACCTGAGGTCAGGAGTTTGAGATTAGCCTGGCCAACATGATGAAACCCCACCTCTATTAAAAATACAAAAAATTAGCTGGGCATGGTGGCACACAACTGTAACCCCAGCTACTCAGGAGGCTGAGGCAGGAGAATCGCTTGAACCCGGGAGACGGATGTTGCAGTGAGCTGAGATCACAGCACTGTACTCCAGCCCGGGCAACAAAAGTGAAACTCCGTCTCAAAAAATAAAATAAAATAAATGTTATATCTTAACATATGTTGTCTCTTGTAACTGAAAACATATTATTATTTTAATTCAAAAGGTTTAGGGAATGGTCGGGTGAGTAATTCAAATGATTCTGAGTAATTTCCAACACTTTTCTTTCTTTAAAGCTTTTAATTTAGGTTCATAGATACATGTGTGGTTTGTTATACAGGTAAATTGTGTGTCACAGGGTTTGACTGTACAGATTATTTTGCCACTCAGGTAATGAACATAGTACCTTATAGGTAGTTTTTTTATCCTCACTCTCCTCCATCTGTCCACCCTCAAGCAGCCCCCAATGTATGTTGTTCCCATCTTTGTGTCCCTATGTACTCAACGTTTACCTTCAGCTTCTAAGTGAGAACATGCAGTATTTGGTTTTCTGTTCCTATGTTAGTTCAGTTAGGATAATGGCTTCTAGTTGCATCCATGTTGCTGCAAAGGACATGATCTCATTCTTTTTTATGGCTGCATAGTTATTCCATGGCATATATGTGCCACATTTTCTTTATTTAGTCTACCATTGATGGGCATTTAGGTTGATTGATTTCATGTCTTTATTACTGTGAATAGCATGATACTAATGATACATGTGCATGTGTCTTTATGGTACAACAATTTGTTTATCTTTGTGTATATACCTAAAAATGGGATTGCTGGGTCAAATGGTCATTTTGCTTTGAGGTCCTTGAGAAATCACCAAACTGCTTTGTTCCATTTTCTCCTCAACCTCACCAGCATGTTTTTTTTTTTCTTTTTTACTTTTTAATAGCAATTCTGATTGGTGTGAGATGGTATCTCATTGTGGTTTTGATTTGCATTGCTCTCATGATTAGTGATGATGAGCATTTTTTCATATCCTTGTTCACCATATGTATGTCTTCTTCTGAAAAGTGTGCGTTCATATCTTTTGCCCACTTTTTAAGTGGGAGGTTTGCTTTTTGCTTGTTGATTTGTAAGTTCCTTATAGATTCTGGATATTTGACCTTTGTCAGATGCGTAGTTTGTAAGCATTTTCACCCATTCTGTAGGTGGCCTGTTTACTCTGTTGATAGTTTTTTTGTTTCGTTTTGTTTTGTTTTTGCTATGCAGAAGCTCTTTAGTTTAATTAAGTCACACTTGTCAATTTTTGCTGTTGTTAAAATTGCTTTTGGCATCTCTGTTATGAAATCTTTGCCAGGGCTTATGTCCAGAATGATATTTCCGAGGTTATCTTTGTGTTTTTATAGTTTTAGGTTTGACATTGAAGTCTTCAATCCGTCTTGAGTTGATTTTTGTACATGGTGTAAGGAAGGGGTCCAGTTTCATTTTTCTACATATGTATAGCCAGTTATCCCAGCATCATTTGCTGAATAGGGAGTCCATTCTCCATTGCTTGTTTTTATTTATTTTGTTGTACATCAGATGCTTATAAGTATGCAGCATTATTTCTGGGATCTCTATTCTGTTCCATTGGTCTATATGTCTGCTTTTGTACCAGGACAATGCCGTTTTGGTTACCGTAGCATTGTAGTATAGTTTGAAGTCAAGAAATGTGATATCTTCAGCTTTTTTCTTTTTGCTTTGGATTGTCTTAGCTATTCAAGCTTATTTTTGGTTTGATATGAATTTTAGAATACATTTTTCTTGTGAATAATGCCTTTGGTAGTTTAATAGGAATAGCATTGAATCTGTACTTTGTTTTGGGCAGTATGGCCATTTTAATGATATTGATTCTTTCTATCCACAAGCATGGAATGTTTTTCAATTTGTTTCTGTCATCTTTGATTTCACTGAGCAATATTTTAAATTCTCATTGTAGAGATTTTTCACCACCTGGTTAGTTGTATTCCTAGGTACTTTTTTGTGTAACTATTGCAAATGGGATTGCATTCTTGATTTGGCCCTCAGCTTGGATGTTGTTGGTACATAGGAATGCTATTACTGATTTTTGTACATTGATTTGGTATCCTGAAACTTTGCTGAAGTTGTTTATTAGATCAAGGAGTTTTGGACAAAGACTATGGGGTTTTCTAGGTGTAGAATCATATCATCTGCAAACAGGGGTAGTTTGACATCCTCTCTTCCTAATTGGGTGGGTTTTCTTTCTTTCTATTGCTTTATTGCTCTAGCCAGGACTTCCATTACTATGATGAGTGGCAATAAGAGAGGACATCCTTATCTCGTTTCTCTTTTCAAGGAGAATGCCTCCAGCTTTTGCCCATTCAGTGTGACGTTGGCTGTGCATTTGTCATAGATGGCTTTTATTATTTTAAAGTATGTTCCTTCAATGCCTAGTTTGTTAAGCGTTCTTAACATGAAAGTATGTGGAATTTTATTGAAATCCTTTTCTGCATCTAGTGAGATGATCATGTAGTTTTTGTTTTTAGTCCTGTTTCTGTGGTGAATCACTTCTGTTGATTTGCCTATATTGAACCAACCTTGCATCCCAGGCATAAAACCTACTTGACTGTGGTGGATTAGCTTTTCAATGTGCTGCTGGTTTGCCAGTATTTTGTTGAAGATTTTTGGATCTGTGTTCATCAAAGATATTGGCCTGAAGTTTTCTTTTTTGTTGTTGTTGTGTCTCTGCCAGGTTTTGGTATCAAGATGATTTTGGCCTCATAGAGTGAGGGAGGGATGCCTCCTCCTCAATTTTTTGGAATAGTTTCAGTAGGGATGGTACCAGCTCTTTATACATGTGGTAGAATTTGGCTGTGAATCTAACTGGTCCTGGGCTTTTCCTAGTTGGTAGGCTCTTTATTTACTGATTCAATTTCAAAATTCATTATTGGTCTGTTTAGGGATTCAGTTTCTTTTTAACACAAACTTGGGAGGTTGAATGGTTCCAGGAATGTATCCATTTCCT
The DNA here is from genome assembly GCF_000001405.40 of Homo sapiens. Classification (NCBI taxonomy): domain Eukaryota; kingdom Metazoa; phylum Chordata; class Mammalia; order Primates; family Hominidae; genus Homo; species Homo sapiens. Next base: position 54,014,167 of record NC_000010.11, on the reverse strand, counting down.
CTTGGGTTTCTTAGCTTGTGTACCCAGAGGTGTTCATAGTCTCTGAGTGTTCTTTTATATTTCTGTGGGGTCAGTGGTAATGTCTTTTTTCATTCAGTCAGTCATTTCTGATTGTGTTTAGTTGGATCTTCTCTTTTTTTTTCTTATTTGTCTAGCTATTCATCCATCTATCTAATTAATTCTTTCAAATAACTAAGATAATTCCTAAATTCATTTATCTTTTATATGGTCTTTGCATCTCAATTTCCTTCAGTTGAGCTCTGATTTTGGTTATTTCTTGTCTTCTGCTAGCTTTGAGTTTGGTTTGCTCTTGTTTCTCTAGTTCCTGTAGATGTGATGCTAGATTGTTCATTTGATATCCTTCTGACTTTTTTAATGTGGGCATTTAGTGCTATAAACTTCTTTCTTAACACTGCTTTAGCTGTGCCCCAGAGATTCTGGTATGCTGGATCTTTGTTTTCATTAGTTTGAAATATTTTATTTCTGCCTTAATTTTATTGTTTACCCAGAGATAATTGAGGAACAAGTGGTTAATTTCCATGTAATTGTATGGTTTTGAATGTTTTTCTTAGTATTGATTTCTGTTTTTATTGCACCATGTTCAGAGAGTGTGGTTGGTATGATTTTAGTCTTCTTCAATTTGTTACAGATTGTTTTGATGTCCAATTGTGTGGTCAATTTTAAAGTATGTGCCATGTGGTGATGAGAAGTATGTATATTCTGTTGTTTTTGGGTGGAGAGTTCTATAGATGTCTATTATGTCCATTTGTTCAATTGTTGAATTCAGGTCCTAAATATCTTTTTCACTTTGTCACCTCCATCATCTGTCTATTACTGTCCATGGGGTATTGAAATGTCCCACTATTGTGTGGAAATCGAAGTCTCTTTGTAGGTCTGTAAGAACTTGCTTTATGAATCTGGGTGCTCCTGTGTTGGATGCATATATATTTGGGATATTTAGATCTTCTTATTGCATTGTATCCTTTACCATTATGTAAGGCTCATCTTTGTCTTTTGTGATGTTTGTTGATTTAAAGTCTCTTTTTGTCTGAAATTTGGATAGCAACTTCAGCTTTTTCTATTTTCTGTTTTCTTGGTGGACTTTTCTCCAAACCTTTACTTTGGGCCTATGGATGTCATTGCATGTGAGATGGGCCTCTTAAAGACAGCATAACGTTGGTCCTTGCTTCTTTATCCAGCTTTAAATTGTGTCATTTAGCCCATTTACATTCAGTGTTAATATTGATGTGTGTGAATTTGAGCCTGTCATCATATTGTTAGCTGGATATTATGTAGACTTATGTCATTGCTTTATAGTGTCAGAGATCTGTGTATTTAAGTGTGTTTTTGTAGTGGCTGTTCACATGTAGCACTCCTTTCAGGAGCTCTTATAAGGCAGGCCTGGTTGTAATAAATTCCCTTAGAATTTGCTTGTCTGAAAAGTATTTTATTTCTTTTTTGCCTATGAAGCTCAGTTTCACTGGACATGAAATTCTTGGGTTGAAATTCTTTTATTTAAGAATGCTGAACATAGGCCCCCAATCTCTTCTGGCTTATAGGGTTTCTGCTGAAAGGTCCACTGTTAGCCTGATGGGTTCTCTTTGTAGGTTTCCTGCTCTTTCTTTCTAGCTGCCTTTATATTTTTTTCTTTCATTTTAAAAAGAATGAAAGAGAATCTGATAATTATGTGTTTTGGGGATTGTCTTCTTATATAGTATCTTGCAGTTCTCTGCAGTTTTTAAATTTTAATATTGGCCTCTCTAGTGAGGTTGGGAAGTTTTCATGGACAATATCCTGAAATATGTTTTCCAAGTTGCCTGCTTTTTCCCCATTTCCCTCAGTGACGCCAATGAGGGGTAGATCTGGTCTCTTCACATAATCCCATATGTTTCAGGGGTTTTGTCCATTCTTTTTTATTCTTTTTTTAATTATTACTTTTGTCCTTCTTAGTTAGTTCAGAGAGCCAGTCTTCACGCTCTCTGATTCTTTCCTTAGTTTGGTCTCTTCTGCTGTTAATGCAATCACAATATAAAACTCTTGTAGTGTGTTTTTCAGCTCTATCAGATCATTTTGGTTCATTCTTATAATGGCCATTTCATCTACCAGCTCCTGTATTGTTTTATTGTAATCCTTAGTTTCCTTGGTTTGGATTTTGACTTCCTCCCTGATTCTCAATGATTTTCATTCCTACCCATATTCTGAATTCTATTTCTTTCATTTCAACTATTTCAGCTGAGTTAAGAATCCTGGCTAGGGAACTAGTACAGTTGTTTGGAGGAAAGAAGACACTTGTTTTTTGAGTTGCCAAAGTTCTTGCACTGGTTCTTTCTCATCTGTGTTCGCTGATGTTCTTTCAACTGTCTAATTTGAGTACAGTCAGTTGGTTTATTTAGATGTTTTCAGAGGAGTGAGGTTTTGTGCATGACCTTTATTTGTAACTGAGCTCTTGTCCTTGGTTTCACAGAAGAATATATTAGCAAAATATTTTTAATAGTAAAGTTTGGGCTGTGATCCAGCAGATGGCACTTAACTGGAATGGCCAGTAGGTAGACTCTTCGTCAGTCTCCTCTATTTCCTAAGGATTGTTGTGCCCCTTCTCAGTGATCTGAAAGTGTCGGCTCCTTTTGCACTTGACTGCTGGCTGTATATCTGTTTGGCACTCCCAGGCTACACATTGTAGCTCTGGGGCAAGCTCAGGCTTTATGTTCTTTCCCCAGCTTAGACACAACAAGGGAAGGGACCTTGGCTGTGGCTGTGGCAGATGGCCTTTCACTTGTCTCTTGGTGCTCCACCCCAGAAAAATACAGAGCCACTACTAATCAGTACAGTCAGCCTGGGGTGTGGTGGCTGCATTGTAGGACCAAGCTTGTGGGTGATGCAGCTGTCTGGAGGTGTGGCTAAAGCACTCAGGGTCTTTGCTCCCTCCACAGTCTGAGGGCAGCAAGGGCAATATCACTGCAGCAGCAGTGGTAGAGGGGCTTTCGGTTGTCCCTGGGTGCTCAACCTGAGGGAAACTCAAAACTGCTCCTACTGGGAATGTCCAGCCAGGGAGTGGGGTGGCTGCACTGCTGGCCTGAGCTGGGTAAAGAACGGGAGGTTGAGGATTCACAGGGAGGACAGTCTGGGCTTCTCTCTATATGATGACTGTGTCCTCCTGGAAGAGTGAGTAAAACCTTTGGCCCTTTCTTTCTTCTCCAGTCCAAGGGCAGCAGGGGCAGAACTACTGCTGTGGCAGTGGCAGAGTGGCTGTTAGTTGACTGTAGGAGCCCCTCCTTAAGGAAACACAAAGCCACTAGCAGTGAGAATGCTCAGCTGGAGATGGGGTGGCTGTTCCGTGCTCCCGAGCTTAGGCACTGCCTGGTAAAGAGTGAGAGGTGGGGGCTCACGGGAAACAGACACTGGGCTTCTGTCCATATTGTGGCTGTGGTGTGCTGGAGTTCCTGCATAGTGGCCAAGCCCTTTGTTCCTCCCCAGCCCAAGGGTAGCTGCAGTCACAGAGAGGTTGTGGATTGTCTCTGGGGTTTTCTCACCACTGACTGAAGTGTTAGGCATTGACAAGGTGGTTGTGCTAGGGGCCCAAGTCCAGAGGCACTGGGCAGTAAAGAGTAGCAGAGGCAGAGACCTGCATAGAAAGCAGTCTAGCTGCTTTTCTGTAATGCTGCCGTGCTGTGCTGGGCGTTTGCATCAGTCTCCAACCACCACATTCCCTCCTGAGCCTGAGGGCAACAGGAATGAGGACTGTGGAGCAGCAAAAAATGGTGACCTGCCTTGCCCTCTGGGAGCTCTGTCCCAGGAAAGTACAGAGCTGCTACTGGCCCAAGAGCCCAGGTCGGGGGTTGCCGAGGTCCTAGGTTGGGAAGCCCTGCCCGGTGAGAAGTAGCAAGGGTGTGGACCCACATGGAAAACAGCCTACCCGCTTTTCTGTAAGGAAACTGCGCTGTGTTGGGGGTCGGCATTAGTCCCTAATCCCTGTCCCTCCCAAGCCTAAGAGCAAAAACAGGGAGGGTTGCAGAGCAGCAAAAATGGCAGCCAGCCTCTCCCTCTGGGAGCTCCGTCCCAGAGAAGTACAGAGCTGCTCCCGACCCAGGAACTCAGGTGGGGCTGGAATGGACAGTAGGCCTTATCCTGCAAGGTGCAGCTGAGATGAGGCCTGCAATGTTTCACTGCTCAGCCTCGTGGATTTGGCCCCTTTACTGGAGGCATGCAAGTCTGGCCTCCACTGCTGCAGGAGCTACAGCCACTGGTGCCAGAGTGTCTGGGGATACAAGTCTCCTGGGACTCCCTGTGTGCCTGAGTATGGCTCTGCCAAGACTCCACATGGTTCTCCGTGTCAGCCTGGAGGCACCGGTGGGGAGCTCATGGGGGAGATCTCCTGAGTCCAGGGATGCAAAAGTCCATGGCAGAAGGTGGGTCCCCAGGGACTCACTTACTCACTGTTTCTCCACAGTGGGAGGACTCCCCTGACTCTGTGCCACCCCAGGGTGGGCAGTTGTCTTGTCTTGCTCTCCTCTGTTCTCTATGTGTTATGCTGTTTCCTGATGAATTCCAGTGTGTCTCCACCTGGATTTTTCAGATGAGCTAGTGTCCACTCGCCAGCCTTTCTTTTCTCAATGAGATTGACACACACCAGCTCCCTCTAGTTAGTTCTCTTGGCCCCCACCTCTTTCGCTGTCTTTTTTTACACTTGACCTGGATTATCTGCTAGCACACAAATTGATGCCATTTCTTCTATGGATACTGTTTCCACCTCTAAACTACCTTGGAATGGAGATCGTAAGCTCCTTCCATCCTCGGACACCCTAAACCTGTTGGGAGAGTTTTATCAGGATCTGGGTTCTTTATTTCTCGGGGGTCCACATGTCTATATACTTAATTATTCCGTTCTTGTGTCTCTCTGTCCTAAGATATTTATTTCAGGAGGTAAGAAATGTGTCTATTTCAGGAAATTAAAACTTTATTCAGTACTAAATTTTCTTTGGAAATAGGAACTCAAACTGTCAAAATCTTTTCTGGGGTAACCTGATTTTTCTTTTCATACCTCTCTTTCCCGAGACAATAATTATCAGTGCTCTAGTGGTCTGGAAAAAGGATCAAGGGACAAGACAAAATTATGGATTGCCTGAAGGGAGGGCTTTGATTGTATTGTATTTTGAAATATGATTTTGTCACACTATTGTGTTATAACATTTAGAAATCTGTTACAAAAATATTTAGGGAATATAATATTGGTGGTTATGAAGATGCCATAATATGTAAGCAGATGAAAAAGACTAAGGTGAGAGTGATCTATATAGACTAAATAGCAAAATATCTTCTGGACCAGGTGAAAAATTTGCCTTGGTTTACTCTTGTCTACTCATATGACTTGGTGGAATTGAACAGTTAAAACATTAAAAATAGAAAAATAATTCATTTATTGATGATTTTGGACAAAGAAGAGAAAAAAAAGACTTGCTATTAATGACATTTCCCCTTTTCTTCCCAGATCGAAAAATAGATCCTCAAATGGTGTGGCCTTTTCTCTGATGAGGGTGTGGTTGATGACAGACAGTTATGGTAAACACTCATAGATTCTGACTTGGCAGCTCTGGATTCAATTTGGATATATTTGCTTGGCTTGTTTTGATGGAAAATGTTAGGGGAGTTAAATTATGTCCAAAATTATCACCTCAAAAAGCAAGATATGCCCTAAGTAACCCTCATTCTGTATCTGGGCCTCATACCTCTTTAAAAAAGTTCTTAATGTTGCCTCAACATCCCTTTATTTCAATATGGGGGTATTACTTAACGCTTCTACATCAGCAGCTGGAAGATAATTTATTCCTCAGATAGAGAAGAGTGTTGGTTTAATTCGTGTTGTATCAATTGCTTTATCTTATTTAGAGAAATCACACCATTCCTTTGGTCAAGGCGTCCTGACTCATGCAAAGTCATTGCCTATTTATTATACATTTAAAGCAAAACTTAACATTTAACTCTAGACATATGTAATACCACTTTTTTATTCCAAGTTCATCTAAGCATAATAAAATTTGTAGGAAATTCTCCCAAATGTAGACTGACACTTGCTTTCCTCTTTTCTGATAACTCAGGGTGGGGATTATCACAAATATAACTTTAAAATTCTAGTATATACTACTGAGGCCCATAAAATATTATTATCCTTTTTTTAAGAGAAGAATGGAGTACAATTCTCAGTTCTCTACAAATGTAGTCTTTACCAGCTTTTCAAATTGTCTATACTTGGTCTAATTACTCGCAGTACTGAAAAGCTGTTTTGTTGATAACATAATTGTATGGTATTCGCTAGGAGATACTTGGACCCAAAAAGTCACCACAGGAAAACATCTTGAAGTTCTTTCTTTCAAAATGAGCAGAAACATAATTTCTTTTGTAAACAAGAGGAAAAAATAAAAGATGAAGTGTTTAATGCCTAGTCCATCAAACCTGTTTAAAATTGGAGCAAGAATGGGAAAATTCAAGTATTATTTGGAAAAACAATATTTCCACAGTATAAATAAAAATTTTTATCAAGACATCTGCACACAGCTTTCTTAGTGTCAAGTTTTAAGAATCCAAAACAAAACCTGTGATGATCAAACAAATAACATACATTTTTTCTTGAAAAGATTTTATAGAACATCAATGTAACAAGGCTTTTTCCTTGTATATACAAGATATTTACTTGTGTATTTTACTTGTAGATATTTTTCTTGTATATTTCTAGATATACTAAATATTTAGAAGAACTGAATCTGTGATGATAGTAAATTAGAGATATTTTCTTGTGTATTTTACTTGTAAATATTTTTCTTGTATATTTCTAGATATACTAAATATTTAGAAGAACTGAATCTGTGATGATAGTAAATTAGATGATATAAGCAAATCTCTGGAAAGTGAAAATAAAATTCTAAACAATTTTAAAAGATCCAGAGTGATAACTAGCCTTACAAACTAAGTTATAATAGAAACCTGGTCTTAGAGTCTGCGTTGTAACATAATATAGAAAATACACAGAAAGAAAAGGGCTGTTCTACAGCAAACTGAAAACTGAATATGAATCTGAAAAGCTGAATATGTAAATGGATATATTATACTAAGCAGCATTATAAGGAGTATAAAGAACTTGTCTGAGATAAACAGATGACCCAAGTCATTTTGCTCATTATAATTTTGGATAGAATGGCTGCATGGGAGTAGGAGAGAGGGAGACATGCTTCTGTGAAGACGGGAGACTAGATTGACCCTTGGTTGTGTTTGCCTGTCTTAGTGTGCAGGTGTGGGAGTAGGCAGGGAGGGGTGAAATGACGAGAAATGAAGTATCATCAGGTTCACCTTGTAACAAGGGCTGAGGTTGTTGTTAAACACAGTGAGTCTTGGAAAATGAAGCTAAGATTTCCACCTTTCAGAGGAGTTTTCTTCTCCAGAAAGAAATATTGCTACCCCATAGAATAGAAGAAAAAGGATAGCTTTTCTAGATGAAAACTCAGTGCCCAGTACCAAGGCAGCATTTGTGAAACCGTGGACACCTGAGAGGCAGTTACGTGCTACTGATGCTCCATCATGACAGTGTTGATAGGGTCCTGCTTTTGATTTCATCAGAAAAGCTGATGCTTGAGAGACCAGGAGGTTGTCCCAGACTCAAACAAAACAGAAATTCTGGACATTTCATCTACAGCATACCTATTGTATGGAGGTAAGAGGTATTGTCTGGAGGTGGGAATTTGAATAAATGATAATTTCTGTGAACCAGCTAGTTGGTGTATGGTCAGATTTAATATTGTTTTTTACAACTTGCTAATTGTTCTGTTGGGGTTGCTTTGAAGTATGGCTTTCAAATGTTTCCCTCTCTTCTAGTCCGCATTTTCAGATTCCTATTGGTGTGTTCTTTATATTATATTTGTCAGTGAACTTGGTGATAGCAGGAGAAAATATCTTTAATTCTACTATTCTAGAGTTTTAGGACTAAGATATAACATATTTCCTATAAAAATCCAAACCAGAGAAAACAAAGAAAATGTGCATGTCCAGGATTAAAAATAGTATATCTACGTAGTAAAGAATCTCTCCCATGGCTCCATAAATATCACCCACTGGTTTCTGGGAGACACCAGAAAGTGCCTCTCTCATATACTTTTAACCTTCATTGATTATGTCGTTGCACATTATAGGATCTCATTCTTCTTTATGGTTAAATAGTACTCCCTTGTGTACCTGTACCACATTTTCTTTCTCCATTATTCTGTTGATGGACACTTAGGTTGCTTCCAAATCTTGGCCATGGTAAATAGTGCTGCAATAAACATGGGAGTGCAGATATTTCTTTCATATACTGATTTCCTTTCTTTTGGCCATGTATCTAGTAGTGGGATTTCTGGATCGTATGATAGCTCTATTTTTAGTTTTATAGGAACTTCCATACTGTTCTCCATAGTGGTTGTACTAATTTGCATTCCCACCATCAGTGTGTGAGGGTTCCTTTTCTCCACATCCTTATTAGCATTTGCCATTGCCTGACTTTTAGATAAAAGCCATTCTACCTGGTGTAAGATGGTGTCTCATTGTAAGTTTGATTTGCATTTCTCTGATGATCAATGATGTTGAGCACCTTTTTATATACCGGTTTATCACTTGTATGTCTTCTTTTGAGAAATTTTTGTTTAGAACTTTTGCCCATTTTAAAATCAGATTACTAGATATTTTCTTACAAAGTTGTTTGAACTGCTTATATATTCTGTTTAATTCCTTGTCAGATGGGTAGTTGGCAAATATTTGCGCTCACCCTGTGGGTTGTCTCTTTACTTTGTTGATTCTTTCCTTTGATGTGCAGAAGCTTTTTAAGTTGATGTGATCCCATTTGTTCATTTTTCTTTGGTTGCCTGTGCTTGTGAGGTATTACTCAAGAAATCTTTGCCTAGTCCTATCTCCTGGAGAGTTTCCGCATGTTTTCTTTCAGTCATTTCATAGTTTGAGGTCTTAGATTCATATCTTTAATCAATTTTGATTTGATTTTTGTATATGGCATGAGATGGGGCCTAATTTCTTCTTTTGCATATGGATATCCAGTTTTCCTGGCATCATTTATTGAAGAGACTGTCCTTTCCCTGGTTACATTCCTGGCACTTTTGTCAAAATTGACTTTGCTGTAGTTGTGTAAATTTATTTCTGGGTTCTCAATTCTGTTCCATGGATATATGTGTGTTTTTTTTTTTTATGCCAGTACCATCCTATTTTGTTTACTATAGCTCTGTAATATTATTTAAAGTCAGATAATGTGATTCCTCCAGGTGTTTTTTTTTTTCCTTTTGTTTAATATAGCTTTGGCTATCTAGGTCTTTTGTACTTCCATACACAGTTTAGAATTTTTTTTCTGTTTCTTTGAAGAATGTCATTGGTATTTGACAGGGATTGCATTGAATCTGTAGAACGCTTTGAGTAGTATGGACATTTTAACAATATTGATTATTGCAATCCATGACCATGAGATATCTTTTCATTCTTTTGTGTTCTCTTCATTTTCTTGAATCCATGTTTTATAGTTTCCATTGCAGAGAACTTTCACTTCCTTGGTTAATTCCTAGGTATTTTATTTTAATTGTAGCTGTTTTACATGGGATTACTTTATTGATTTCTTTTGCGGATTGTTCACTGTTGGCATATAGAAATGCTACTGATTTTTCTGTGTTGATTTTGTATCTTGCAACTTTACTAAATTTATCAGTTCTAATACTTTGTGTGGTGTGTGTGTGTGTGTGTGTGTGTGTGTGTAGTCTTTAGGTTTTTCCAAGTGTTAGATTTTATCATTTGCAAACAAGGATAATTTGACTTCTTCCTTTCCAATTTAGATGATCATTATTTTGTTTTCTTTTCTGATTGTTCTTGCTAAGACTTCCAGTACTATATTGAATAACAGTGGTGATAGTGGGCATCCTGGTTGTGTCCCAGATCGTACAGGAAAGGCTTTCAGTTTTTCCTCATTCAGTATGGGAGTAGCTACGGGTTTGTCATATATCACTTTTATTATGTTGAGGTATGTTCCATCTACACCCAGTTTTTGAGGGTTTTTATCATGAAAGAGCATTGAATTTTATTAAATGCTTTTTCAGAATCAATTGAAATGATCATATGGTTTTTCTCTTTCATTCTGTTGATGATATATCACATTGATTGATTTGAATATATTGAACCATCCTAGTATCCCTGAGATAAATCTTATTTGGTCATGATTAATGATCTTTTAAATACGATGTTGAATTTCTTTGTTATTATTTTGTTGAGGAATTTTGCATCAATATTCATCAAGGAGATTGCCTATAGTTTCTTTTTTGGATGTCTCTTTGTCTAGCTTTGGTATCAGTATTATTGTCTTTATAGAATGAGTTTGAAAGTATTCCCTCCTCCTGTTTTTTTTTTTTTTTTTTTTTTTTTGGAATAGTTTGAGTAAGATTAGTATTAGTACTTCTTTAAATATTTGGTAGAATTCAGTAGCAAAACCATCAGGTTCTGGCTTTTCCTTTGCTAGGTGACTTTTCATTACAGCTTGATACTTGTTATTTGCTATATCTTGTTACTTGATACTAGTTTGTTCAATGTTTTGGATTTCTTCATAGTTCAATCTTGATGGGTTGTGTGTGTCTAGGAATTTATTTGTTTCTTCTTGATTTTCCAATTTATTGACATATGTTTGTTCATAGTAGCCACTAATGATCCCTTGAATCTCTGCAGTATTAGTTGTAATGTTTTCTTTTTCATATCTGACTTTATTTATTTGGGTCTTCTCTCTTCTTTTTTAGTTAGTCTGGCTAAAGGTTTGTCAATTTTATATAACTTTTTAAAAAAACAAACTTTCTGTTTCATTGATCTTTTTATTGTTTTCTTCATTTCAAATCCATTTATTTCTGCTCTGATCTTTATTATTTATTTTCTTCTACTAATTTTGGCTTCAGCCTGCTCTTGCTTTTCTAGTTTTTAAAGATGCATCATTAGGTTGTTTTGTTTAGTTGAAGTTTTTTTCCTTTCATGATGTAGGCACTTATAGCTATAAATTTCCCACGTAGTAAAAATTTCAGTATATCCTATTGAATCAAGAGTTTTTCCTGCTGATGGATTCGTGGTCTTGCTAACTTCGAAGAATGAAGCTGCGGACCTTCACAGTGAGTGTTACAACTCAAAAAGAGTCCACAGACCAGGAGAGTGAGCAGCAGCACAGTTTATTGAACAAAGCGAAAGGGAAGCTTCCACATGGTGGAAGGGGACCTGGAAGGGTTGCCACTGCTGGCTGTGGTGGCTAGGACTTATATCCCTGTGTTACCCCCTCCCCTTTCTTTCTTTTTGTCCATTGAGAGTGGCTCTTTTTTCAATCCTCCCTTGGAGTGGTTAACTTTGAATCCTTCACTTTATTGATTAAGAACTCAAAACCCTGAGTCACAGGGGTCTTTTGTGAAAGTCCCCAAATCAACCCAGGAAGTCCTGCCAACTCCACACCTCACTATTGGTTTTGATACTTTGTATTTTCATTATCATTTGGTCAAAAAAGTTTTCAATTTTCTTATCAATTTCCTCATTGACCCCTGGTTATTCAGTAATGTATTGTTTAATTTCCATGTGTTAGTATAATTTCCAAAATTTATGTTGTTATTGATTTTTAGTTTTATTCTGTTGTGGTCAGAGAAGATACTTGATATTATTTCAAAGTTTTTAATGTGTTAAGACTTGTTTTGTGACCTAAGGTATGGCCTGTATTTGAGAATGATCCATGTGCTGAGGAGAATGTGTATTCTGCAGGTGTTGGATGAAATGCTCTATGAGTAACTGTTAGATCCATTTGTTCTACAGTGGAGATTAGGTCTGATGTTTCTTTGTTGATTTTCTTTCTGGAAGATCTGTCCAGTGCTGAAAGTGGGATGTTGAAGTTTCCAGCTATTTTTGTTTGGGGATGTATCTGGCTCTTTAGCTTTAATAATATTCGCTTTATATATTTGAGCTCTCCAATGTTGAAAATATATATGTGTGTGTGTATGTGTATATATATATACACACACACACTGAATACATATGTATGTATACACATGTATATATACATATATGTATATATATACATGTATATATATACATATATGTATATATATTTACAATTGTTATATCTTCCTGATAAATTGATACATTTATCATTATATAGTGACCTTCTTTGTCTCTCTGTGTAGTTTTTGTCTTGAAATCTGTTTTGTTTCCTGTAATTGCAGATATTCCTGCTGTTTATTGGTTTCCATTAGCATGGAATATATTTTTCCATGTGTTTATTTTCAGTCTATGTGTGTCTTTATAGGTGAAGTGTGTTTCTTGTAGGCAACAGATCATTTTGTCTTTTTTTTCTTTAATCCGTTCATCCACTCTATGTCATTTGATTAGAGAGCTTAATCCCTTTACATTCAATGTTATTTTTTATAACTAAGGACCTATTGCTTCCATTTTGTTATTTGCTTTCTGGTTGTCTTATGGTTTGTCTTCTTTCTTTCTTTCCTTCCTGTCTTCCTTTAAGTGAAGGTAGTATACTCTGGTGCTTTGATTTTGTTGACTTTTTATTTTTTATGTATCTATTGTACATTTTTTGGTTTGAGGTTATCATCAAGCTTGCAAATACTATCATACAACCCTTTATTTAAGCTGATAACAACACTGTTTGCATAAACAGACAAGAAAAAATAACTAATAAAAACTCTATACTTCATCTCCATGCTTTTTAAGTTTTTATTGTTTCTATTTATACCTTATTTTACTATGTCTTGAAAAGTGATTGTAGTTATTTTTGTTTCATAATTTAGTCTTTCTACTTAACATAAGAATATTTTATACACCACCACAGTTACAGTGTTATAATACTCTGTGTTTCCTGTGTACATACTATTACCAGTGAGTTTTGTATCTTCAGATGATTTCTTATTACTCACGAACTTTCTTTTTTTATTGAAGAACTTTCTTTAGAATTTCTTATAGGACAGGTCTGGTGTTGATGAAATCCCTCAGCTTTTATTTGTCTGGGAAAGTCTTTATTTCTCCTTCCTGTTTGAAGGATATTTTAACCAGATATACTCTTCTAGGAATTTTTTTTGTCCTTCAGCACTTTAAGTATGACATGCCACTCTCTCTTGGCCTGTAAGGTTTCTGCTAAATGTCTGCTGCCAGATGTATTAGAGCTCCATTGTATGTTATTTGTTTCTTTTCTCTTACTCCTTTAGGATCCTTTATTTATCCTTGACCTTTGGGAGTTTGATTATTAAATAACTTGAGCTAGTGTTCTTTGGGTTAAATCTGCTGGTAGTTCTATAATCTTTTGTACTTGGATATTGATATCCTTTTCTGGGTTTGGGAAGTTCTTCATTATTATTCCTTTTAATAAACTTTCTACCCTTATCTCTTTGTCTGTCTCCTCTTTAATGCCAATAACACTTACATTTGCCCTTTTGAGGCCATTTTCTAGATCTTGTAGTCATGTTTCATTGATTTTGTTCTTTTTTTTCTCTTGCCTCCTCTGACTGTGTATTTTGAAATGGGCTGTCTTCAAGCTCACTAATTCTTTCTTCTGCTTGGTCAATTCTGCTATTAAAAAACTGATGCATTCTTCAGGGTGTCAGTTGCATTTTTCAACTCCAGAATTTCTTCTTGATTTTTAAAATTATTTCAATCTCTTTGTTAAATGTATCTGATAGAATTCTAAATTTCTTCTCTGTGTTATCTTGAATTTTTTGAGTTTTCTCAAAACAACTATTTTGAATTCTCTGTCTGAAAGATCACTCTCTCTGTTTCCCCAGGATTGGTTTCTGGTGGCTTGTTTAGTTCATTTGGTGACTTCATGTTTTCCTGGATGATATTGATGCTTGTGGATGTTTGTCTGTGTCTGGGCATTTAAGCGTTGGGTATTTATTGTATTCTTCACAGTCTGGACTTCTTCGTATTTGTTATTTGGAAAGCTTTTCAGGTATTTGAAAGGATGTAGGTGTTGCTAAAGCTGTATCTGCTTTAGGAGGCACCACAAGCCCAGTAACACTGTGGTTCTTGGCAGACTCTTACTACCTTAATGGTCTTGGATAAGATCCAGAAGAATTCCCTTAATTACCAGGCAGAAACTCCTGTTCTTTTCCCTTGCTCTCTCCCAGACAGAGTGTCTCTGTTTGGAGCCACCTGGAGCTGGGGTTGGGGTGACACAAGCACCCCTGTGGACCCCACTGCTGGGACTGCAGTGGGTCAGACCTAAACCCAGCACAGCACTGGGTCTTGTCCAAGACCTGCTGTAACCACCCTGGCTACCACTTAAGTTTGTTCAAGGCCATGGGTCTCTATAATCAGCAGGTGGCAAAGCCAGCCAGACCTGTGTCTTTCCCTTCAGGGTGGCAAAAATCTCCCAGGCCCTGAACAGGTTCAAAGTTACCGTCTGGAAGTCAAAACCTTAGAATTCTACCTTGTGTTCTTGTGTACTGTGGCTGAGCAGGCACTCAACCTATGAGAAACAGTCCTTCTCCACAAGCAGAGGAGCCTTACCCTGTGCCACTATCAAAGACCCTTGGGGAGTACTGCCAGGCTACCACCAATGTTCACTTATGGCCCATGGCCTCTTAAATCAGCTTGTGGTGAATATGCCTAGCCTGGCAGTAAAAATATCAAATATTTTCTTTAGCTGCAGATGTAGCCTTTTATGACTTTTTATGCAGAAGCATAAAAGAAGGGAAATAAGTCAGTAAAGACAAGGAGACAATACAGAAATTGAGAGAGAAAAAAACCCAGCAGAATGCTAATAATATGAGAAATATGAGAAACAGCAACTTGGACAGCAAATAGAAAGTGTCTAGTAGTGGAAAACAGAACTGGTAAGAGGCAAACAATCAACCATACACCCACGTAAAAGTAGGTATCGGCTCCATAAACCTCAAGGCATTATAGAGCAGCCATATAGCTCAACAAGGATAATGCTAATGCTAGACCATAAGACAGAAACAACTAAAGTCATTCCGCCCATTGGCTTATACTGTCTGTGTCTCCTCATAGAGCCTGAATTAGCTTTAGTATGGTAAGGACTGGCATTTGCTATATACATATCTTTTTTTTTTTTTTTTTTTTTGAGACTGAGTATCACTCTGTCACCCAGGCTGGAGTGCAATGGCGCGATCTCGGCTCACTGCAACATCCGCCTCCTGGGTTCAAGGAATTCTCCCTTCCTCAGCCTCTCGAGTAGCTGGGATTACAGGTGCCCGCCACCATGCCAGGCTTATTGTTGTATTTTTAGTAGAGACACAGTTTCGCCATGTTGGCCAGGCTGGTCTCGAACTCCTGACCTTGGGTGATCCGCCCACCTCAGCCTCCCAAAGTGTTGGAATTACAGATGCGAGCCACCGTGCCCAGCCTACACGTTATTTTTAAAAAGATGATCAAGTTCCAACTAGTTAGAACTTTCTACTTATCTTCTAAATAAAAACTGTTCTATAGGTTTTTGCCTGTGATTCCAGAAAATCAAAAATTTTATCATCTTTTTCTCTTTATTTTTATTTTTTTTGTGTGTGTAGAACTTCAACTTGTCATTACATTTACAAACTTACCAGCAAGTTCTTATCTTCCTAGCATGATCATTAAAAAGATTCCTTACATCTTCTTGGTAGTCTGCTAAAGGAGAAAAGGTTTCTGTGATTATTACAGACTCTAATGTAGCAAATAAATAAATAAAACATAGTTTTCTCCTGTTAGCTACCTACACCTTCAGGTATAATTTTATTTGCTTGACACATGGAAACAAATTGCAGGCTTTATGAGTATAACCATTTTTTAAAGTTTTCCTTAAGAAAAAAACCATAAGGTTTTTCAAGTTGTAAATCATAACATTCAGAATACTCTTTTGAAGCATTAAAACTATTTTTTGTTGAGACCAATAAAAATTTTTACCAAAAGAAACAAATATTATGGGTTTTAGTGATACAATTCTTAACTACAGAGGAGGAAATATTTCTTTTTGCTAATACTACCCTCTAGTGGAATAATGGGCAAGAGAAAAGAGCATGGTTTTGGAGTGCTGAGCGAGTCCTTAATTTACTGCACAAGAGAACATTTGCACAGAAGCCGATTTATATACATTTTTGTTCAGATGTCCCTGAGCATAAATACAGTGAACTATTGATTATGCTTGTTGGAATTGCATTTCAATACATTTCTCCTCTTGAAATAATGCATTGTGGAAAAACTATATGCAACTAGCTGCTTTTGTAACCACAATGAAAGATTATAACCCCAAAGTATGTACAACGTGCCATAAAAAGAAATACTACTACAATAACTACATTAATTTATTCTTCATCCTGTCAATAGAAAATAAAGGGGGAAGAGAACCAATCTTTTCATAGGCTTCAGTCATTTACAGTCTTAGGTGTGTGTCTAATCAGTTTGTGAATCACTGTACATTCAAGTTAGAAGGTGAATCCAATGAATACTTCCCAAGCAAATAAAAAGTTCATCATATTCAACACTGTGAACAGCTGTGTTGACATAATTGGAAAAGTATATACATTTTTTTTGTTTCTGAAGAATCAAATTTTCCAAAAAGTACCTTGTGACATTAAGGTTTTAAATTTCCCCTGAGAATAAAATAAAGAATAAAATTTTTAAGAACATAATGAGCTCATTGGAAACTCATGCATGGAAACATTGCAGTGTTGGGCTCCTTCCTTTCGAACCTTCAGAAGTTACAATTTAGGGGTGCTAAAGGATTTCCACACCCTTAGTTACCACATCCACTTATTAAGTTAATTGGCACTCTTGGAAAGGGCACGAAAATGTGTGAATGCTAATGTTTTATATATTTACTCCCTGCATGGAGCCTCAAGATCAATACCCTTCACAGTCCTCATTATAGAGAACTAAAACTTCTCGGTTCATTTACTTGTTCAGATTCTAAAGTCCATAATTTATTGTAAAAATATTTTTCATAGAAGAGATGGTGAATACTGTATTTCAAAACAGAAGAAATGATATTTTTTATTTTTCAGTTTTGTGTACAGTTCAAGTTCTCCTATTAGAATATGCAGGTTTATTCATATTGACTACTCAGAACTCAACTCTATGGCGAATATAAAAGGAAGCATTGTTTGATAGTAAGAAATAATTATTCTGACTTCTTTGCAAAAAGAGAAGTTTGAGATCTGTTAATTTATGTGTTTCCAGCTTAATACTGTACAGGAAAATTGTTGTGTCTAAGCAAATATCAAAGAATATGTAGAATTTTTTAAATTTTGTTTTTACTAGCAAGTGAGAAAAAGGGGACTTGGAGGAGAAGAGCAGATAATTAACAAATTTAGGTTTCAGTTCAAATATGTTTGACCCACACTACCCAAAACACGGTAGGGTAAGGATTATTAAAATATTATAAATAAATAAATCTGCCATATGAATAAGCATTATTTATTGACAAAAGATTATATACAATTATCTCTAAAAGATAAAATGATTCAGAAAAATATGGTCTTCCTTTCAGGGGACTTGATTTATTATTTTGGCCCTGATAAGTAGATTAATTTAGTCAAAGTTACTAGCCTTTCTGCAGATTAGTATTTTTACTAGCCTAATGGCAGTTAAGTGACACAAAGACAGGGACATCTTTTTCTTGAGTCACAACAGTATCTTCAGTGCCTCGCACTGAAGTGCTAAATATCTGATGAAAGTGGGAAATACCTGATAACTATTTATTTAATGAACTTGACAATGCATGAATAACAATGCATATATAGCGCCAAATTGGAAAAATAAGATACATATAAGTTGCTCTGAAAAAAATTCAGTAAATTAACATTGTTTTCTGTGTATAAATATATCTAATCTTAAGTGTCATTATTTTAGTGCGCTGCAGAGAAAATCTCCTTTTATCATGTAAAATGGCAACAAAGGATATTTCACAGTTTGTATCTGAAATGTTCTAGTCAGTATTATGCTAAGTATATAAAATAATTTACATTGCTATAAAAACATATAAAGAGCATTTAAAAAAAATCTTTTACGCCTGCTTCACAGAATGTAGCTTTTAAAGAAACTTGTTCTTATTTTCAAATGTTAAAATTTTACCTCTTACCATTAGAAGTTAGAAAAAAATTCCAGGGTCACTTCAGTCTCCAAAAGGCATGTTTTTGAGGGTGAAAGACTTTATTCCAGTGGAACGGCCTTCAGTTGATATCCACACATTAATATTGTATGAGAACTCTGGCAGTTTCCTCTGAGGTGCCAGTCTGAAATGAGAGTAATGGAATTGAGAGGATGGAAGGCTGACAGTGGTAAATAAGTTGTGTGATATGAAGACTGGGAGTCAATCTAGTAACTGTATCCCTAACCTGGTTTCAACTGAAGTACTAAACTCCTAATTGTGTTTTACAGGATATGAATGATTATCCTCCTGTCTTTAGTAAACGAATATACAAAGGGATGGTGGCTCCGGATGCAGTCAAGGGTACACCTATCACAACAGTTTATGCTGAAGATGCAGACCCTCCTGTAAGTAGAAGGCATTGATTAATATTCTGAACTGTACTGAGAAAAATCCTTAACACTCATAAATGACCGAATCACAAGACAGCAAAAGTAGTCTCTGTAAATTTCACCCTATTTATTCATACATTTTATGTTCTTTTACTTATTTCATCCACAGGTACAGAGCATATTTCAGATGACTATTATTGAACCTAGACAAAGAATATGCTTTTTGTTTTTCTAGAATGCACAATGTACTAATTACTAATTTATCTAACAATGATAAATATATATGAATTGTCTCCATTTGTAAGCTTCACTTAATCTGGATATGTTTTAAATTTATGTATTTTCCACTGTATGCATATATGACTATTTTGTTAGCAAACTCCAAATCAACATATCACATGAAACTTATATTGAATGTGTTTATTTTGGTAAATTAAAAAGCTTAAGATTGCTTACAGAAAATAGTTAACATTCTTTTATCATATAGAACTTTACTTTTTTGAGATATCCCAAATTATCTTTCAAGGCAAGGTTTTAATTAAAATATTATTATAGTGAGAGTGATAAAATACCATGTATAATTAATAGTATACATATAAAAAAGCTTTCTATAAATACCTTGTTTTATAAATATTAATTATTATCCTGATGATTTAAATTTTTCTCTGAGTGGGCTCACACTGTAAGTTGGTGGCTGATAAATTTTAGAAAAATACAAATAAAAGTTAAATGAACTATTTTAGAAGAGTAAGAAAATAAAATCCTGAATCTTATAAGTGATTTAGAAGTTCTGTTTTCTATTGCTAATATAAATAGTATTTCTTTTAATGCTTGTATTTAATTAAAAGTGAATGGCCATCATAACATTTTTCAGCTTCGATTTGGACAAGTCTTATAAACTCTATTGTGACTATATGGAATCAAAATGTATTAATGTTAATATGAAAGTGGTGGGCTTTAATTCAGAAGCTCCTTTTCTTAAGTGTGTTAAAATGTCTTTGAAACTGCTTTATTGTGCTTTGGGATATATGATAGGCAAAAATTTCATAGACTTGAACCCATCAATAAAGATAGTGAATGTGAAACTGGCAATTTTTCTGTTTTTTAAGTACATTGTAACATGTACAATTACTTTGAAATTAGGAATATGTATTCAATTTTATTCAACATATGTGTTTTTAGCACCAACTATATACTGGTCATTGTGGCAACCAGTTTTTGCTCTCAAGAAACTGAAAATTTTATAGAAAAGACAGAATTGCAAATAGAAACCATAACACTCTGTAATAAATGAGTGTAAGGAAACACAATACTAACATACATTTAAAAAAAATTTTCATCAGCACAGAATTTAATATAGAGTTTAATGGCGTTAATGATGAGAGATTAAAAGTCGCGCTATTTTTCACCTACATGGGACAGACCTGAAAGTCTTCGTATAGACAGTAAATTTATTACTTCCCCTTTGGTAGTAATGACTGTGGTGCCTGGCTTGGCATTCAGAGCGCATCCACCAAGGTGCGAAAAGTTGTCTTGGTCTGTTGTCTGTTCTATAAAGAAGATAAATTACTTATCGTAAGTATTTATGTAAAGAGAAAGCTCTGTTTTTACACTTTGAAGCTCTTTTAAATAAAATTGCCAGATTTAAATTTCATATTTCTTTGGAAGAGGTTTTCAGTTTTGCACTCCCAGTAGTAATTTTTAGCGTTTAATAATTGATATTGGCCTTTCATTAGATAGAAAGTGGATGCCAGTCATTCCATTGAAATACTGAATCTATTTATTTCAGTTATTGAGTATATATTTATCAGACTCAGTTTTGCCCCTGGAAACACCAACAATCTTTTGATATAGCTATGATCAGAATTGAGCTTTTGAATCATTGTTGCAAACTGGGACCCTTAAGTGAGCATAGTTGCAATTTGGTTGCACCTACACGAATCCTAAGTAAAAGCTCAATTCCATGAACGTTTTTGAAATTACTATATTACATAATTACTTTTTTTTAAATGTTATGCTTTTTACCCTTATTTTATGTTGGTACCATAAAGACAGAATAATTATTATTCAGATAGGCTTGCCAAGTGTTTTCTACTCTGTTACTGTTATAAATGTTTATTAATTAGAAGAAAATAGTTTCAATTTCATACTCTTCAGGGATCCTATACCACTACCTGGGGCTGTAAGTATCTATCTTAACACTGTAGGTTTATTTAATAGTCTCTCTTCCAAACTAGAATGTAAGGTCCTTGAGGACAGGAATCAAAACTTATTTCAGTTTGTATTCTCATGTCTAACTCTAAGCCTGCTACTTACTAGTCTGCCAGGAAACATTTGTTGAATAATTGAATAGGTGAATAAATAAACGTTTATTCTGTATTCTTCAGGATTGACAAAATGTGCCAGACTTCCAGAAATTTAATTTTGTATTACTGTAGAAAAAATTCTTAATATCTCCAAGACTTAGTTTGGCCATGTAAGGGCTATGAGAATTAAATGATTGATGTATATACATGCTCAACCAGGCTTCTGCCCCTGCATATATTAGGTATTACTATTATTAAGCAATAATAATTTTCATTTCTAGAGGTTGGCCACATCGTTTTCAAGGTATCCTGTTTCTTTTGAATGAAGTGAGAACCACTCATGTTAAACTATAAAATGACAACACCATAACTTTTTGAAATATCAGAGAAACTGGAAAAACTCTGAAAGCCAGAGAGAGCACTATTGTTGAATACAAAATAAGAATTATAAAATACATGTTTTGCAAAACTGAAGTGCTCCAGAGGGAGGAAAAACATATTCCAGGAACTTTTCCCTCTACTAAATTGAAGCTGAGAGGATCTCTTTTTTCTACCGTGCTTTCGTGACAGCGTTGACATTATGTAGTTCACATGAGACATGAATAGTGAATGACTGATCATTTTTGAAATTAAAAATGGCTAACCGTTTATTTCTTTTCACCAGAGACGTTTCATTCCCAAATTTGACAGAACAAAACTACAGGTGTAATGTTTATTTGCATAGTTTTGTTCTTTTTGAAACTGCATTTATGAGGAGATTTTGGGGAACAGGGTTAAATTGTGACAGAATAGTCTTTTGTGAGTATGTGAACATGGAATAATTGGGATAAATAAATAGGGTTTATGTTTCATCTTCACTTCATCTCCAACAAGTGAAGCATTATTTGTACCATTCCTTATATTTTATATATTTTAGGAATTTATAAGGTTCTTGTTTAAAGTAGAGTAGTAATTGGAACATGTTTAATATTGTCTCCGAAACTGGTGGGTTCTTGGTCTCACCGACTTCAAGAAGGAAGCCGCAGACTGTCGCACTGAGTGTTACAGTTCTTAAAGATGGTGTGTCCAGAGTTTGTTCCTTCTGATGTTCAGACGTGTTTGGAGTTTCTTCCTTCTGGTGGGTTCGTGGTCTTGCTGGCTTCAACAGTGAAACTGCAGACCTTTGCAGTGAGTGTTACAGCTCTTAAGGCAGCACGTCTGGAGTTGTTCCTTCCTCCCGTCCAGAGTTGCTCATTCCTCCCAGTGGGTTCATGGTCTCGCTGGCCTCAGGAGTGAAGCTGCAGACCTTCGCAGCAAGTGTTACAGCTCATAAAGGCAGTATGGACCCAAACAGTAAGCAGCAGCAAGATTTATTGCAAAGAGCAAAAGAACAACGCTTCCACAGGGTGGAAGGGGACCCGAGCGGGTTGCGGCTGCTGGCTTGGGCAGCCTGCTTTTATTCCCTTATCTGACCCCACCCACATCATGCTGATTGGCCCATTTTACAGAGAGCTGATTGGTCCATTTTACAGAGAGCTGATTGGTCTGTTTTGACAGGGTGCTGATTGGTGCATTTATAATCCCTGAGCTAGACACAGAGTGCTGATTGGGGTATTTACAATCCTCTAGCTAGACATAAAAGTTCTCCAAGTCCCCACTAGATTAACTAGACACAGAGCACTGATTGGTGCGTTTACAAACCTTGAGCTAGACACAGAGTGCCGACTGGTGTGTTTGCAAACCTTGAGCTATACACAGAGTGCTGATTGGTGCATTTACAGTCCTTTAGCTAGACACAAAAGTTCTCCAAGTCCCCACTAGATGAGCTAGACACAGAGCACTGATTGGTGGGTTTACAAACCTTGAGCTAGACACAGGGTGCTGATTGGTGCATTTACAAACTTGAGCTAGACACAGAGCACTGACTGGTGCATTTACAATCCTTTAGCTAGACATAAAAGTTCTCCAAGTCCCCACCAGATTAACTAGATACAGAGTGCTGATTGGTGCATCCACGAACCCCAAGCTAGACACAGAGTGCTGATTGGTGCATGTACAATCCTCCAGCTAGACATAAAAGTTCTCCAAGTCCCCACCAGACTCAGGAGCCCAGCTGGCTTTGGCTAGTGGATCCCACGCCGGGGCTGCAGGCAGAGCTGCCTGCCAGTCCCGCACCGCGCGCCCGCTCTCCTCAGCCCTTGGGCAGTTGATGGGACCGGGCGCCATGGAGCAGGGGGCAGCACCCTGTTGGGGAGACTCGGGCTGCGCGGGAGCCCACGGGGGTGGGGGGGGTTCGGCCATGGCGGGCTGCAGGTCCCAAGCCCTGCCCCGTGGGGAGGTGGCTGAGGCCTGGCGAGAATTCGAGTGCAGCGTGGGCGGGCGGGCAGTGCTGGGGGACTCAGTGCACCCTCTGCAGCTGCCGGCCCGGGTGCTAAACCCCTCACTGCCCAGGGCCGGTGGCGCCAGACGGCCGCTCGGAGTGTGGGGCCCGCCAAGCCCACACCCACCTGGAACTCGTGCTGGCCCACAAGCACCATGCACAGCCCCAGTTCCCACCTGCACCTCTCCCTCCACACCTCCCTGCAAGCAGGGGGAGCCATCTCCAGCCTCAGCCAGCCCAGAGAGGGGCTCCCACAGTGCAGCGGTGGGCTGAAGGGGCTCCTCAAGTGTGGCCAGAGTGGACGCCGAGTCCGAGGAGGCGCTGAGAGCAAGTGAGGGCCACCAGCATGTTGTCACCTCTCAATATGAACAATTTTGACCAACTTTCTTTTATATATATGTATATAACATATATATATAACATTGTGAGAAATATGTTCTTTATATATATAACATATATAAAACATATATAGAACATATATATATATAACATATATATAACATTGTGAGAATTATGTAGACTTTTAAGACTTCTTTTTTCAGGCTTTAATACTGATTTATGAAATAAATATGCTCCATAAAAATTCTTGCAATTTTTAATAGTTATGGACTTTAAAATCAGTTCCCAAATACTTAGTATTCTCACTATACTTTTTCAGAAAGTATATATATAAAGAGAAAATCATTACAACTGTGAAGTATTTTATTTCCCTCTGTTGAGATTTTGAGAACTATTGTAGCGTTTCAGAGCTTAGAAGAGCTACCTGAGGAATTATTTGCAAAGGGGTTTCAACACCCATCTGTCATTCAAGGGTACATTTATTGATCTCTAGAGAGTGTAAAAAGATGGCTAGATCTTCTTTTCTATAATGTATATCTGTGTTTTATTAAAATGTCACGATGTTACCAAACATGCTATGTAATTATGGACATTTCCCAATGCTTAACCCTCCAAACAGTCATTCTGTTACAATCTATTAGCGGAGGGTGCTAACAGTAGAAAGAAAGTAACAGTCATGTAATTCGCTGCTTGCTTGCTTTGTGTGCCATAGTCAAAACTATTCAGGACCAAGAGTGTTATAAAATTGTATTTTTCCTTCCAGATAATATAGTTTTTTGGTATCATTTTCAATTGATATCACTACTGATTTATTTTTCATGACTCACCACATACTGGCTTGTGTTGTTAGTCTGTATTGATTTAGATTATTGCTAACAATGTAGCAGAGACTCTGATTTTTAAGATCAGCAGCTACTAACTATGATTTCTCACCCAGGAGCATGAGGAGGGAATATACACAGCTCAGTGTTGTTGTTGCTTTTTTTCCCCTTAACATCAAAGCTGTTAGGGAAATAATCAAGAACTACTTTTACTGTGAATGTCAGCTTGTGAAAATTGACATGCTATAGTCCCAGCCTGACTCCCATTTGTCTCAAATACTTAATTAGAAAGAAGGTACACCATGAAACAGTTGGGGCTTGATCTTTAAAACAACAGTGGAATATAATTAGATTTGAAAGTGTAAACGGGTATAAAAGGGAAGGCTTAGTGAAAAATGATTATATTATTAATAATACTTGAAATTAATATTAGAATTAACAATTCAGATGTAAATAATGCTCTTTTAATTTAGAAATTGTCATACTTACCAGAGCTAAAGGGGCATTTTTCTTTTGTTATAAATGGAAATGTGCGTAAAATTTGTTTGTTTCAACCTTTAAAAAAGTGTCCTTCAGATCCCATAATGTGTTACTAAATAAAACTAAAATCTAGCCTGGAAAATGTCCATACTCAGATACTTAGCAGGTAAACAGACTAAAAGCCTAACTTTAGTAGTATGTTTCCCTGTAATGACAGCTTAGTCTTAGCCAATTCCAGTAGGTATACTTTAACCACTCATAGGCGGCCAACTGTTTAAACTTTGTTTAAATAAGGCAAATGCTGAGCTGTAACCAATCCAGCTGTTTCTGTATCTCAGTTTTAGTTTTTGCACATCACATTTTTTTCCCATAGATGTTTGACCTTGTGACAGTGCCAAAGTCTCTCCGAATTTTCTTTGATTCTAGGGGCTGATTTGGAAATCATGTTTTTTTTCTTTTCTCAATTAAACTCTTAAATTTGTCTAAAGCTTTTCTTTTAACAGTATCAATAATTCACATATTTCGGGAGTGGGGAATAAGAATATACCTCACAGGACCTGGGTCCCAACATACTTTAAACAAGACAGATTTCCAAGAAAATTGAGTGAAATATAATAGACTTTCTCTGGGACTGGCCCACAGACCTCCCTTATGGCTTAAATGATATTCTTTATTCTGAGTGTCTTGCCAGGGGAAATGGAAACAGACCCTCTGAAAGGGTATCTTGGCTTCTCATGACCTGGATTCTTGGCCTTAACACCCTCTAAATTAAGCCACTCATAATTCCTGGTCTTATCTTTGTCCTCTTTGCAATTCGTTCATTTTCTTGCATGGTGGCTATGTTTGGACCGTAGCCCTACAATCAAACACAGACCTAACATAGCCTAGAGACTGTGTCACAGCCTGAGGTCACTTTTAGGACAAATTAAATTTTAAATGATTTCAAAACATCTGAGTGCAACTATCTATAGAATGAGAAAAATTGGCACCCACACCCTCCCCCATCCCCTCGGCCTCAGGTGTGGAGGATGGAGGCTGAAGGAGCTGTACCATGGGGCTGGCAGAAACCTTATCTGTTGCCCAGTTATCAAACCAAGGAGTACATGAAACCTAATGCTGAGGGGAGGCTAGAGGCAGATGGCAGTGTGAGGCTAAGGTTGCCTTCACACAGATCAGCAACTCCGTGAGAAGGACCCTAGATGATAGGTATTGAGTTGCCGCAGCTGCTTTGATTGCTTTGATCTGACGCGGGGATGATGTGGTTGCATTTAAAGAGCCTGGGATGGATCGGGCAGAAAATATCAGACTAAGAGCTTAAAAAAGAAACGTGAACACAGGAGTTACCTGAGTTGAGGTTCAAACTCTGAAAGTAAATCCATTCTCTAAGAATGAAAACATAATTAGATAAGAGAAAAACCTGGAAATAGACTCTCAGAATTTGGGGATATGTCAAGGACTGATTAGTGGAAAGAGCCAGAGAAATTAAAGACTGACAAGATGGAAGGGAAACCTGCTAGTAATGTGGTACAGGTGAAAAGAAGTTTTCAATGGAGAGAAGGAAATGAATGGTGAAAAACTTTGCAGACAGGGTAAGGACAATGAAATTTAAATGAAGGACCATAGTTCTGTTGATTAGGAACCCATGGGCGGCCTTCATGGTAAATTGGCCTCTGGTCTCCTGATGCTGCCTTCTTACTCTTTTAATTTTCATGTGTCTGAGGCATCTGGGGACATGACATTTATTTATGACTCACCTTTTTGTTTTTAACTCTGTAAGTTTATTTTCATTATATTTTCTTTGAAGAATTAGTCACATACATTTTATTTAAAAATAATTTATGGTGCCTTAATTATATTTCCTAGGCATTTTTAAACAGCCATTTATATTTTCCATATTTAAACCTATGTATGACGTGCAACACTCCTTTTATATTCTGACCCATCCACTCTTAAGCTCTGCATTTGCTGCATCTCTTAGTTTATTTATGTATTCAATTTATTGAGGATATACACTTTGTAAGTTCTTATATGACACTTTTTTTTTGCTTATACTTAGAAAACTTGAAAGACTACTAGAGTCTTGGGTCAAAAGTTTTTCCCTTTAAAGCTATATAGATGATGTTTCGCTATGTTTTTATTATTTAATAAATTATAAAGTGTGAAGCCAAATTAATTTTTCTTCATTTTTAGATATTTTAGCTTTATCTGCTTAAAAAAATCTCCATTTTTATATTAAAGTTTTTTACTAGTATATATTTAGATATTCTTTTCTTTGTATGAATTGTGTCTGGTGTATGATGGCCCCTCATATGCAAATTTATATAGTTTATCAGCTCAATAAAATTTTAAGTGGTTTCAAAAGTGTGGGCTCAGGAGCAAGAATGTCTGGTTTCAACTTCAAAAACTCCCACTGACTAGCCCTGTGGCCTTGGTCAAGTCACTTAATTTACTGTAACCCTCAGTTCTGGCATCTGGAAAATGAGAACAAAAATAGCACAATTAAAACTTTATAACCCTTGAACAGCTACTCCCTATTTCCCCTTTCCCTTAGCCCCTGACAACCACCTCTGCTTCTTGAGTTTGACGACTATTTTAGATATCTCATGTAAATGCAATCATGCGGTATTGGTCCTATGACTGGCTTAGTTCACTTACCATAATGTCCTCAAGATTCGTTCACATTGTTACAAATGGCAGTACTTCCTTCTTTTTAAAGCTGAGTAATGTTCACTTGTATGCATATACCACATTTTCTTTATCCACTCATCCATCAATGAACATTTAGTCTGTTTCCACATCTTGGATACTCTGAATAATGCTTCAGTACACATGGGAGTACAGATAGATATCTCTTAAAGATCCTGATTTCAAATATTTTGAATAAATTCCCAAAAGTGGAACTACTGGATCATATGGTAGTTACATTAGTAATTTTTTTGAGGAAACCCCATACTGTTTCTCATATTGACAGTGCCATTTTACATTTCCACCAACAATGCACAAGTGTAGCAATTTCTTCACATTCTTGCTAACTTTAA
This sequence comes from Homo sapiens, assembly GCF_000001405.40. Taxonomy (NCBI): domain Eukaryota; kingdom Metazoa; phylum Chordata; class Mammalia; order Primates; family Hominidae; genus Homo; species Homo sapiens. The sequence continues at coordinate 53,986,320 of NC_000010.11, read as the reverse complement.
AAAAATTTGTTTTAAATAAAAGCCATCCTACAAAGCATGAGGCGATATCTGATTGTAGTTTTGACTTTATTTCCATTATGACTAATGATGTTGAGCACATTTTTATGTACTGTTGGCCATTTGTATGTCGAGTGTGTATGTTGTTGTTTTTTTTTGAAAAAGTTATTCAAATCCTTTACCCATTTCTTAATTGAGTTATTTGTTGTTTGTTTTTCTGGTATTGTTCTAAGGATCTGCTTTCCAAAATTGTGACTGTAGTTAACAATACTGTGTGATACACTTAAAAATTTGTTTAAAGAATATATTTCATGTGTTCTAAAAACAAAAGAAATACTTTATAGGGTTGCTGTGATGTTGAAATGATGTCATTTATGTGGAACAGTTGGTGCCTACTACATAGTAAATAATATATATTAACTATCTTTTTTTTATGTTTACTCTGACCTTTTTTATGGTTTAAGTCTATGAGATCTGTCATCCATATTTATATTTTGTGATCTGCTTCCTTCTCTTTGTGCTTTTCCCCTGCATTCTGGAAAATCCTGTAAAGGTCAGAGGTCCAGGAACCTGAGCATAAGTTGTAGAGAAGAAGTGGGTAGCATAAGGTAGTAGGGAGTCAGGAAGGTGCTATGCCTCTGAAACATGACCATGACAATTTTTTCCCTGCTTGATCTTTTCTCGGGGTGTGTTTATAATCTAAGGACTGGACCCAAGTATTCTGTTTTGAAGTTTCCCTTTGACTACACTACCATTGTGGCTAAATGCTACAGCTTGTTTGGCTTCACACCTGGCTGTTCCACTCACCATGGTAATGGAGAGCCTGCCACCCCATCCTCTCTCCAACCTCAAGCCATCTTTACTACAGAGTCAAATAATTTAAAAGCATTCAAGACAATGCCACTGTCAGGAACATTGTATGTCATATTATGAACTTTCTAACATATACCAGAGATTCCTATACAACTGTGATCATTAGTTAGTGTGAAGTACCCTGTGAACTTCTGGTGCAGCAGGATTTGATTAACACATAGCAAAAAGAATGAAGTGTAAGAACTGAGTGCTCAATGAAAATAGAAAAAGAAAGCAATACCATTATATAAAGTTTTTTTTTTAAGCACACAGAAGCTTCTACAGTTTTTCCTACAAAAACAATTCTTAGTAAACAACACCAAAATCTCACTGTTCTGCAATAGCAAAGATCAATATTTTTATTTATGGGTCTGTGAGGCAGCTAGGAGTTGGCTGACCTTGTCTGGGCTCATGTCTGTTCCACATATCTCCTTCTGCAGGGACGCATGGCTAACCAGGCCTGCTTTTCACATAGTGAGAATAGAATCCTAAGAGAACTTGCCTAACCACATGATGACATGTAAAGACTGCTCCCGTGTCACAGTTCTTCATGTCTGTTGACCAAAGCAAGTCACATGGCCTAGCCCAAAAAATCAGAATAGGAAGTAGAAGAAAGGGGAGGGGATATTTGCTAAACTATAATACAATGTACCATAAATGGTCTAGTTAAAAGATACTCCTTAAATGTATTAAAAAGATTGCCATTGGTGGCAAAGAGAGATAGGAAAAACAGGTATGAGAATAAAAGAAGAGAAAGAAATGAATAAACAAATATGCCTTGAAGATCCATCAATGATAATGTTTCATAAACTATAGGTAATATTTAACTCAAATCTGTGCCCTTGAGATCCAAACACAATAAAAATTCCTCAAGATTTACTATATGTTTGTGCATTGAATATTATTTAAAGAGATTCTATTATATAAGAGATGCTAGATTAAGCATAAGGGAAAACTGTCATGGTTCCAAGCCTTGGTATTTCAAACTTGAAAGGATAAAAGTTAAAAAGTCAATCAAGTAAGGCCAGGCACGGTGGCTCACGCCTGTAATCCCAGCAATTTGGGAGGCCGAGGTGGGCAGATCACAAGGTCAGGAGATCGAGACCATCCTGGCTAACATGGTAAAACTCCGTCTCTACTAAAATATACAAAAAATTAGCCGAGCATGGTGGTGGGCGCCTGTAGTCCCAGCTACTTGGGAGGCTGAGGCAGGAGAATGGTGTGAACCCAGGAGGCGGAACTTGCAGTGAGCAGAGATTGCACCACTGCACTCAAGCATGGAGGACAGAGCAAGACTCTGCCTCAAAAAAAAAAAAAAAAAAAGAAAAGAAAAAAGAAAAAAAAAAAAAGAAAAGCACTTAGAAATGTTTAGGGTTCTATGAAACCAGATAAGAGGGAGCATGATTGTATCTAGAGAGTCAAGGAAGGTTCTAGAAGTGATTCTGAGCGGAGGTCTGAAGGTTATGCCAAGATAAAGTCACGTAACAAAAGAATCAGGCCCTGAAGTATGAGGAAGAACAGTAAGTTTCAAAAACCAAGGCCATTTTTTTTTCAGGAGGATGGAGAGGGAAACCTAAGTTGGATCCTGCTTAATCTTGTAGATTGTGAAGACAGTGTTAAGAATTTAAGGCATAGAATATAGGGTCACTAATTACTAGCTCAGATAAGGTTCATCTCTAAGTTCCTTTGGCTACATGAATTTTTTGTATTAGGAAAGTCTGACGGTGTGCCAAATGTCAACTTCATAAACTTAACAACTGTGTTTAAATAAATAAATTTTACAAGGAATGTGTTATTTCATACCTTTAAGGGTCGAGTTACGTTTACCTTTGAAAAGCACATTTCCCAAAACATTTAGTGGTAAATAGCCCTAAAGCAAGTATTTTTTACAATCTTAAATAGCTGTGTCAATATCCTATCTGTAGAAACTGAACTATACAAACACCTTATATTAAGTGTCAAACTGCATAAGGAACTTGCCAACATGTTGTCAAAACATATTGGTCATTCCAGGTGTTAAAAACAGGGAAGAGGGAGGAAGAAGTAAAAAAAGCACAGGACTTTCTCAGTGGTTACATGAAGAGTTCCGCCTGCTGTTTTTTTTTTTTTCTTTCTCTTTTGTCCTTTAAGGATACCTTGACATCCAGTTAAATTCACTAAAATATGACTAAGTCACATGCCTGCAAAACGTATATATATATTTTGTGTGTGTATATGTATACACACACACACACACACAAACACACACACACCCAAACCACTTTATAGTAATTCCTTTATAGTAATTCCTGATGTTAAATCATACTTGGGAGATTTTGTGAATTGCACTGTTACAAAATCAGTCAGAGTAGTTGCCTCAAAGACTTTGGGAAAAAGAATTTTGGAAACCATGTCGGGGTAAAATATTTGTGTTCTTGAAAACAAATTACTTAATATTTGTTTTTAATGATAATAATAAGTTTGGTATTCCCTGCTACAATGTGATTGCTATAACTATGAAGAAATTATGAAGGAAACAATGTGAGCCTGAGTAAGTAATTTCTTGATAATTATGTGTTTAAGAAAAATGACTAAATCAAGATTTCCCCTGATACTAAGGACCTAATTATTTTAGTCCATTATATTTTCTTTTTTTATATTTTTTTATTATTATTATACTTTAAGTTTTAGGGTACATGTGCACAATGTGCAGGTTAGTTACATATGTATACATGTGCCATGCTGGTGTGCTGCACCCATTAACTCGTCATTTAGCATTAGGTATATCTCCTAATGCTATCCCTCTCCCCTCCCCCCACCCCACAACAGTCCCCAGAGTGTGATGTTCCCCTTCCTGTGTCCATGTGTTCTCATTGTTCAATTCCCACCTATGAGTGAGAACATGCGGTGTTTGGTTTTTTGTCCTTGTGATAGTTTGCTGAAAATGATGGTTTCCAGCTTCATCCATGTCCCTACAAAGGACATGAACTCATCATTTTTTATGGCTGCATAGTATTCCATGCTGTATATGTGCCACAGTTTCTTAATCCAGTCTATCATTGTTGGACATTTGGGTTGGTTCCAAGTCTTTGCTATTGTGAATAGTGCCGCAATAAACATACGTGTGCATGTGTCTTTATAGCAGAATGATTTATAATTCTTTGGGTATATACCCAGTAATGAGATTGCTGGGTCAAATGGTATTTCTAGTTCTAGATCCCTGAGGAATCGCCACACTGACTTCCACAGTGGTTGAACTAGTTTACACTCCCACCAACAGTGTAAAAGTGTTCCTATTTCTCCACATCCTTTCCAGCACCTGTTGTTTCCTGACTTTTTAATGATTGCCATTCTAACTGGTGTGAGATGGTATCTCATTGTGGTTTTGATTTGCATTTCTCTGATGGCCAGTGATGATGAGCATTTTTTCATGTGTCTTTTGGCTGCATAAATATCTTCTTTTGAAAAGTGTCTGTTCATATCCTTTGCCACCTTTTTGATGGGGTTGTTTGTTTTTTTCTTGTAAATTTGTTTGAGTTCATTGTAGATTCTGGATATTAGCCCTTTGTCAGATGAGTAGGTTGTGAAAATTTTCTCCCATTTTGTAGGTTGCCTGTTCACTCTGATGGTAGTTTCTTTTGCTGTGCAGAAGCTCTTGAGTTTAATTAGATCCCATTTGTCAATTTTGCCTTTTGTTGCCATTGCTTTTGGTGTTTTAGACATGAAGTCCTTGCCCATGCCTATGTCCTGAATGGTAATGCCTAGGTTTTCTTCTAGGGTTTTTATGGTTTTAGGTCTAACGTTTAAGTCTTTAATCCATCTTGAATTGATTTTTGTATAAGGTGTAAGGAAGGGATCCAGTTTCAGCTTTCTACATATGGCTAGCCAGTTTTCCCAGCACCATTTATTAAATAGGGAATCCTTTCCCCATTGCTTGTTTTTCTCAGGTTTGTCAAAGATCAGATAGTTGTAGATATGTGGCGTTATTTCTGAAGGCTCTTTTCTGTTCCATTGATCTATATCTCTGTTTTGGTACCAGTACCATGCTGTTTTGGTTACTGTAGCCTTGTAGTATAGTTTGAAGTCAGGTAGCGTGATGCCTCACTGAAATTCCCTAAGTTTTCAAGTTTGAAACATCCTTCATACAGGTATGCAATTACCTTCTGTAGTAATTAATTATATTCTCATGATAACTAAGTCGAAACATATTGTGTTTAACACACACTGTAAGAATAGAAATCAAAAGTAGAAAATGTGCTGAATAATGAAGAAAATAATTGAAATCTTATTATTCTATTTTCTTGGTGTAAATTTACATTCATTCTGCTATATTAATTATTCTCGCCTTATTACTCTGTAGAATTATATCACATTTTTATTTTAAAAATCTAATGTGAGCATCACCAATGCAGGATTTGTCTGCCATGTGTTATTCATGTTAATACAGATATGAGTAAATATCCATACTCATAATTATTGAATTTTACACATTTCAAATTTAGCAGATAAAAGGACATCACAAAGCTGATATCATTTGTTACATATTTTGGAAACCACATAATATTTAAATAAGTTACATACTACCCCCAATCATATTTAGAAAGATACCTAAATCATGAACCAAAAAAAATTGATTCCTTTATAATAGATGTCATAAATCATGTTCTTCCTGAGTGCCGTTAGGTTTGGGCACTCTAGAGTATATGAAAATTATTGACTGATGTCACTAGTGTTGTTGTTTTTGTTTAACTCATAAAAATTATATTGTACAGCAGTTAATTAACCTCTTTAAACCTTGTAATCATATAGGAATAAGAAGAACTATTTTGCTGGATTATTGTTTGGGCTTGATGGAGAATGACACACTTAGCTCATGTGAAGCACATTGATGTTAGTTAATTTTTCCTCCTCTTTCTCCTCACTTCCAGAGTGATGGAAAAACACAACTTTGCATCTAGTTTGGTACAGTGCTTACATCCTCATCAACTGTAAACTTTAGGATATTAATACCTAAACTCTTGAAGTAACTCTGATGTCATCCATGGCACTGTAATATTCGAGAAGAAAGTTTTCGTGAAAATATGCTGACAGGGCCTTTAGAATCCCACACATTTTTAAAATATACATATTTTAATAACGTTCTTACCAAAAATTAGGAAGACTTTTTGTTTAAAAGACAGCTTTAATTTATGTAACTTCCTACTGATATATGTCTACTTTTACCCCTTGTTCAAAATCCTAATAAAATTAAGTTTTTTTCTTTTTTTTTTTTGAGATGGAGTCTCACTCTGTCACCCAGGCTGGAGTGTAGTGGTGTGATCTCAGCTCACTGCAACCTCCTGCCCCAGAGTTCTAGCAATTCTCCTACCTCAGCCTCCCAAGTAGCTTGGATTACAGGTGCCCGCCACGATGCCAGACTAATTTTTTTGTATTTGTAGTAGAGACGGAGTTTCACCATGTTGGCCAGGCTGGTCACGAACTCTTGACCTCAGGTGATCCACACACCTCGGCCTCCCGAAGTGCTGGGATTACAGGCGTGAGCCGCCGCACCTGGCCTAGTTTATCATTTTAATACTCAAATGATATACTAAATTAGACTGTACATATAACACAATTACTATACGCTCTATGAACTAAAATACATTTTGTGTATTTTGTGATTTGTGAGTGTCTGCAGTGAGTTTTAAAGTCTAGTTTACTATAAATCTTAAGATCTGTTCTCTAGTTGTAGCACCTCCGTTTAATAGCACCACATGTTTCCTTTTCACAGTTTTAATCAGAAATGTTGGGAAATAATTGTGTTTTTATGTGTACATTTTGTCTCTCCAACCTGTCCAATTGTGAGGCCCATGAGTACAAAAGCATACCTATGTTTCTCATCCTTGTCCACCATCTTGAGAGACGAATATGAGAAGCTGTCAATGCGAAAATTAGCAGATATTTATAGGTTATAGATTGAAAACTTGCCAACAATGTATCCCCATTCTTAGATAAATAAATTCTTAGAGGGTGATATGGTTTTGCTGTGTCCTCACCCAAATCTCATCTTGAACCGTAGTTCCCATAATCTTCACGTGTAGTGGGAGAGACCCAGTGGGAGACAATTGAATCATGGGGAGGTTACTTCCATGCCCTTCTCATGATAGTGAGTGAGTTCTCACAAAATCTGATGGTTTTATAAGGGATTTTTCCCTTACTTCACTCTGCACTTCTCTTTGCTGTCACCCTGTGAAGAAGGATGTCTTGTATGTTTCTGCCATGATTGTAAGTTTCCTGAGGCCTCCCCAGCCCTGCAGAACTATGAGTTAATTAAACTTATTTACTTTATAAATTACCAAGTATCTGGTATGTCCCCATAGCAGTGTGAGAACGGATTAATACAGTAATTTGATACCAGGTAGAGTGGCACTGCTGTAAAGGCATCTGAAAATGTGGAAGTGACTGTGGAACTGGGTAACAGGCAGAGGTTGGAACAGTTTGGAGGGCTCAGAAGAAGACAAGAAGATGTGGGAAAGTTTGGAACTTCATAGAGATTTGTTGAATGGCTTTGAACAAACTGCTGAAAGTGATATGGACAATAAAGTCCAGGCTGAGTTGGTCTCAGATGGAGATGAGGAACTTGTTGGGAACTGGAGTAAAGGTCACACTTGCTATGCATAGAGACGCAGCATTTTGCCCCTGCTCTAGATATCTGTGGAACATTGAACTTGAGAGAGATGACTTAGGGTACCTGGTGGAAGAAATTTCTAAGTAGCAAAGTGTTCAAAAGGAAGCAGAGTATAAAAGCTTGAAAAATTTGCAGCCTGATGATGCAGTAGAAAAAAAAAAAAAAAAACATTTTCTGGAGAGGAATTCCAGTTGGCAGCAGAAATTTGCGTAAGTAATGAGGAGCCAAATGTTACTCACCATGACAATGGGGGAAATGTCTGCTGGGCATGTCAGAGACATTCACAGCATCCCCTCCCATCACACACTCAGAGGCCTAAGAGGGAAAAATGGTTTCCTGGGCTGGGTCCAGGGACCCCCCTGCTGTGTATAGCCTCAGGACTTGGTTCCCTGCATCCTAGCCACTCCAGCCATGGTTAAAATGGGCCAAGGTACAGTTCAGGCCATCGCTTCAGAAGATGCAATTCTCAATCCTAGGCAGCTTCCATGTGGTGTTGGTCCAGCGGGTGTAGAGAAGACAGTAATTGAAGTTTAGGAACCTCTGCCTAGATTTCAGAGGATGTATGGAAATGCCTGGATGTCCAGGCAGAGGTGTGCTGCAGGGGCAGAATTCTCATGGAGAACCTCTGCTAGGGAAGTACAGAAGAGAAATGTGTGGTGGGAGCCCCCACACAGAGTCCCCACTGGTGCACTGCCTAGTGGAGCTGTGAGAAGAGAGCCACTGTCCTCCAGTCCCCAGAATGGTAAATCCACTGACAGTTTGCTGTGTGTGCCTGGAAAAGCTACAGGCATTCAATGCCAGCCATGAAAGCAGCCAAGAGGGGGCTATACACTGCAAAGCCATAAGGGTAGTGCTGTCCAAGGCCATGGCAGCACACTTCTAGCATCAGTGAGACCTGGATATGATATGGAGTGAAAGAAGATCATTTGGGAGCTTTAAGATTTAACTTCCCCCCTGGATTTTAGACATGCATGGGGCCTGTAGCCCCTTCATTTTAGCTAATTTCTCTTATTTGGAATGGGTGTATTTACCAATGCCTATACCCCCATTGTATCTAGGAAGTAACAATGCTTTTGATTTCACAGGCTCATAAGCAGAAGGTACTTGCTGTGTCTCAGATGAGATTTTGTACTTGGACGTTTGGATTAATGCTGAAATGAGTTAAGACTTTGAGGGACTGTTGGGAAGGCATGATTGTGTTTTGAAATGTGAGGTCATGAGATTTGAAAGGGGCCAGGGTGGAATGATGTGGTTTGGCTGTGTCCCCACCCAAATCTTATCTTGAACTGTTTTTCTCATAATCCCCATGTGTTATACATCTTGGCAGCTCATGATACACATACACGTAAGTGTTACTGAAATGTCAGGGGTTTGGTCTAGGATCAAGCTTGTCGAACTCATGGCCCATAGGCCACATGCAGCCAAGGAGAGCTTTCAGTGCAGCCCAACACAAATTCATAAACTGTCTTAAAACATTATGAGGTTTATTTGTGATTTTTTTTAAAGCTTTCAGCTATCATTAGTGTTAGTGTATTATATGTGTGGCACAAGATAATTCTTCTTCCAATGTGGCCCAAGGAAGCTAAAAGATCGGACATCCTTGGTCTAGGTCCTGTTGCTCACTGCACAGAAAGCCGATCACTGAGACAAAAAGCATTGCCAGGGTTGGCTTTAATCAGGTGCTGCAGCCCAGGAGATGGGAGGTTAGTGTCAAATACATCTCCCAGACTGACTAAAATCAGGGGTTTATATTGCAGAGAAGAAATGTAACTACATGCAGGAAAACAGGAATTAGGGACAGATAAAGAAGATGAGTTGGTTAACAGTAAACAGGGACTCAGTTAGCCAGTCATGACAGTGAAGGGTCTTGTATCTCGTTGCCCAGATGCAGTGCTCTAGTAAGTTTCAGTTCCTTGATACTCTCTGGGAGGCCCGATGGTTGGTGTCCTTAGAAAATAACTCAGATAAAACAAATGTAGCTCTCTCAAGTTTTAAGACTGAGAAGGTTAATTTCTATGTTTATTTAAAAGACACCGTAAATATCACTTCTATGGGACAGTTTAAATCAGTTGTAGTATTCATTTAACAAATTATTATTGCCCTCTTAAATAATGGCAAATCACAAAAAAAATCTACTCGAATGGAGCTTACAGATGATGGACAGAGACAGGCTGCAAAACCATACACAAGTAAATATGTAACATAATTTCACATAAGCATATGTGCTATAAAAATAATAGTGATAGAGTAGTTTGTGGATGAGTATATGCAGAGGAGTTTGTGTCATTTGAGACCAGAATGTTAAAAGAGGATAATGATGCAAGAGTCTTACAGGCAAAGACAAAAGCAAATGGAAAAGCTTGAGGTAGGAAGGAGGTTGGTGTTTGATAAGGTCAATATGGATGAATTATTTCTAAAGAACATTCAGGAGAAGGGGGTGTGAGATCAACTCCATCTCCTTGTGAGCTTTTTCATTTTTTATACTCTCACAACTCAGTAATTTCTATTTAGTGAACGTGTTAAATGAATGAATGAATGAATGAACCCCACATTACCTAGGGTTAAGCATGGTACTATAACTCATATGAGCAAAGCAAAAAGAATAAAGGTGGAAGCATCACACTACCCTACATCAAACTATATTATTAATACAAGACTGCAGTAATCAAAACAACACGGTACTGGTACAAAAACAAACACATAGACCAGTGGAACAGAATAGAGTTCTCAGAAATAAAGTCACACACCTGCAACCATCTGACATGTGACAAAACTTACAAAAACAAACTATAGAGAAAAATTGCCTATTCAGTGAATGGTGCTAGTATACTCGCTAGCCATATGCAGAAGAATGAAACTAGGCCTTTCCTTCAACCACATACAAAAATTTTTTTGATATGAATAAATTACTTATATTTAAGACATAAAACTATAAAAATCCTAGAAGGAAATCTAAGAAATATCATTCTAGACATTGCTCTTGGCACGTAAGTTTTGACTCAGTCACCAAAAGCAATTACAACAAAAACAAAAATTGATGAGTGGGAACTAATTAAACTAAAGAGCTTTGCCCCAGCGAAGAGACTATCAACAAAGTAAACAGACAACCTATAGAATAAGAGAAAGTGTTTATGAACTATGCATCTGACAAAAGTCTAATATCCAGCATCTATAAAGAACCTAATTCGACAAGCAAAAAACAAACACCCTATTAAAAATCAGAGGACGTGAACAGACACTTCTCAAAAGAAAACATACAAGCAACTAACAAACATAAGAAAAAATGTTCATCACTAATAATCAGAGAAACACAAATCAAAACCACAGTAAAATACCACCGCACACCAGTCAGAGTATTGATTATTAAAAAGTCAAAAAACAGATGCTGGTGAGGTTATGGGGGGAAAAAAAACACTTATTCATTGTTGGTGGGAATGTAAATTAATTCAGCCACTGTGGAAAGCAGTTTGGAGATTTCTCAATTAACCTAAAATGGAATCATCATTTGACCTAGCAATTCCATTACTGGGTATATAACCAAAGAAAAATAAATTGCTCTACCAAAAAGTCACATGCACTTATATGTTCATCACTGCACTTTTCACAATAGCTAAGACATGGAATCAATCTGAGTGTCCATCAGTGGTGTATTGGATAAAGAAAATGTGGTACATATGCACCATGGAATACTATGCAAACATAAAAAAGAATGAAAGCACGCCCTTTGCAGCAATATTGATGCAGCTGGAAACAATTATACCAAGTGAATTAATGCAGGAACAGAAAACCAAATACTGCATGTTTTCACTTATAAGTGGGAGCTAAACATTGGGTACACCTGGACAAAAAGATGGGAACAATAGATACTGGAGACTATTAGAGGAGGTGGGGGAAGGAGGGGAGCAAGAGCTGAAAAACTACATATTGAGTACTATGCTCACTACCTCGATGACTGGATCAATTGTACCCCAAACCTCAGCATTATGAAACATCGTGTAACAGACTTGCACATGTACCCCAAAACCTAAAATAAAAGTTGAAATTTAAAAAAAAAATAAGAAAAAGGGCAGAGGCGCCTGTGGTCGCCATCACTTGAAAGTTGTGAATAGGTAAACGAATCAGCTAAATAGAAGAATGAAGAGTGATCACTAAGGCAGCCAGTAGTGTGGAATATGATATTCTATAACCCATATAAAGAGTGTTCCAGGAAAGATAGAGTGATTAACTATCAAACCTTTAGACAGTTTTCATATAAACAAGGACTGAAAAAATGCTGTATTTCACAAATAAATAGAAATAAAACATATGAGCATGATGACAGGTTAGTAGTTTATAAAATTTTTAATTTCTAATATTTTAGACAATTTTTAAATTTCTCTTACAAATATATCTTATATAAATAAGTATATTATTACTTAGTTGTATGATACTAATCTTTAAAGTTAAGTATATTTTATCTAATGGAAAACAAAAAGCCCCTAGAGATTTGTTTTAAATTGTGTTTAATTTCTGGCTGGATGTGGTGGTTGATGCCTGTAATCCCAACACTCTGGGAAGCCAAGGTGGGTGGATCACTTGAGCTCAGGAGTTTGAGAGCAGCCTAGGCAACATGGTGAAACCCTGTCTCTTCTAAAAATGCAAAAATTATCCAGGCATGGAGCGTCCCTGTAATCGCAGCTACTTGGTAGGCTAAGGAACGAGAATCATTTGAGCCTGGGAGGCGGAGGTTGCAGTGAGCCAAGATCACGCCACTGCCTTCCAGCCCGGACGACAGAGTGAAACTCTGTCTCAAGAAAAATAAGGTAAAATAAACAAATAAACAAATATAAAATTGTCATTAAATTCAGTTATTATTCTATGTTGGCAACGTTTTCAGCTCACTTTGATTTAGTAACCTTCCTGTAATAGCATGCTCCTATTTTGAATATTTTATTTCTAAAATACATGTATCCTTCTGAAGGAGACTATGTTACTTTACCAATTAGAAAGGCTCTTCCTCATATCTAAGTATTTGTTGAAACCAAATCTCATTCTGTCTTCAGCAGTGAAGGAGCAATGGCTATGATTTTTTTTTCTAAAAATCTTTTAAAAATCTATTTAAATGCTGTGGTCTAGTGGTAATACTGTGTGAATACAGGGAAATAACTAATGACCTCAAGATTTTTCTAAACCTAAATAGAGAACACTATATTTGGTTGATGAGAGTACGGAACCAAAAAAGTAATTTACTGGTCAGTAAGAACTTTAAGAAAGTAATTCTGTATACTGCTTTTAGTGTTCATATTAAAGCAATTTTATCACAATTTCAAAATGATATAGAAAAGAAATATATCGCCGTAGTAACGCAATTTTAAATATTGATTTGTTTTTTTAATTTATTTTTTTAATATACTTTAAGTTCTAGGGTACATGTGCACAACGTGCAGGTTTGTTACATATGTATACATGTGCCACGTTGGTGTGCTGCACCCATTAACTCGAGATTTACATTAGGTATATCTCCTAATGCTATCCCTCCCCCCTCCCCCCACCCCATGACAGGCCCTGGTGTGTGATGTTCCTCGCCCTGTGTCCAAGTGTTCTCATTGTTGAGTTCCCACCTATGAGTGAAAACATGTGGTGTTTGGTTATCTGTCCTTGCAATACTTTGCTCAGAATGATGGTTTCCAGCTTCATCCATGTCCCTACAAAGGACATGAGCTCATCCTTTTTTATGGCTGCAGAGTATTCCATGGTGTATATGTGCCACATTTTCTTAATCCGGTCTATCATTGATGGACATTTGGGTTTGTTCAAAGTCTTTGCTATTGTGAATAGTACCACAATAAACATAGGTGTGCATGTGTCTTTATAGCAGCATGATTTATAATCCTTTGCATATATGCCCAGTAATGCGATGGCTGGGTCAAATGGTATTTCTAGTTCTAGATCCTTGAGGAATCGCCACACTGTCTTCCACAATGGTTGAACTAGTTTACTGTCCCACCAACAGTGTAAAAGTGTTCCTGTTTCTCCACATCCTCTCCAGAACCTGTTGTTTCCTGACTTTTTAATGATCACCATTCTAACTGGTGTGAGATGGTATCTCATTGTGGTTTTGATTTGCATTTCTCTGATGGCCAGTGATGATGAGCATTTTTTTCATGTGTCTGTTGGCTGCATAAATGTCTTCTTTTGAAAAGTGTCTGTTCATATGCTTTGCCCACTTTTTGATGGGGTTGTTTGATTTTTTCTTGTAAATCTGTTTAAGTTCTTTGTAGATTCTGGATATTAGCCCTTTTGTCAGATGGGTAGACTGTAAAAATTTTCTCCCATTCTGTAGGTTGCCTGTTCATTCTGGTGGTAGTTTCTTTTGCTGTGCAGAAGCTCTTTAGTTTAATTAGATCCAATTTGTCAATTTTGGCTTTTGTTGCCATTGCTTTTGGTGTTTTAGTCATGAAGCCTTTGCACATGCCTATGTCCTGAATGGTATTACCTAGGTTTTTTTCTAGAGTTTTTATGGTTTTAGGTCTAACATCTAAGTCTTTAATCCATCTTGAATTAATTTTTGTATAAGGTGTAAGGAAGGGATCCAGTTTCAGCTTTCTACATATGGCTAGCCAGTTTTCCCAGCACCATTTATTAAATAGGGAATGCTTTCCCTTTTTCTTGTTTTGGTCACATTCGTCAAAGATCAGATGGTTGTAAATGTGTGGTATTATTTCTGAGGGCTCTGTTCTGTTCCATTGGCCTATATCTCTGTTTTGGTACCAGTATCATGCTGTTTTTGGTTACTGTAGACTTGTAGTATAGTTTGAAGTCAGGTAGCGTGATACCTCCAGCTTTGTTCTTTTGGCTTAGGATTGTCTTGGCTGTGGGCTCTTTTTTGGTTCCATATGAAATTTAAAGTAGTTTTTTCCAATTCTGTGAAGAAAGTCATTGGTAGCTTGATGGGGATGGCATTGAATCTATAAATTACCTTGGGCAGTATGACCATTTTCATGGTATTGATTCTTCGTATCCATGAGCATGGAATGTTCTTCCATTTGTTTGTGTCCTCTTTTATTTCCTTGAGCCGTGGTTTGTAGTTCTCCTTGAAGAGGTCCTTCACATCCCTTGTAAGTAGGGTTCCCAGGTATTTTATTCTCTTTGAAGCAATTGTGAATGGGAATTCACTCATGATTTAGCTCTCTGTTTGTCTGTTATCGGTGTATAGGAATGCTTGTGATTTTTGCACATTTATTTTGTATCCTGAGACTTTGCTGAAGTTGCTTATCAGCTTAAGGAGGTTTTGGGCTGAGATGATGGGGTTGTCTAAATATACAATCATGTCATCTGAAAAAAGGGACAATTTGACTTCTTCTTTTCCTAATTGAATATCATTTATTTCTTTCTCCTGCCTGATTGCCCTAGCCAGAAATTCCAACACTATGTTGAATAAGAGTGGTGAGATAGGGCATCCCTGTCTTGTACCAGTTTTCAAAGGGAATGCTTCCAGTTTTTGCCCATTCAGTATGATATTGGCTGTGGGTTTGTCACAAATAACTCTTATTATTTTAAGATAGGTTACATCAATACCTAGTTTATTGAGAGTTTTTAGCAGGAAGGGCTGTTGAATTTTGTCAAATGCCTTTTCTGCATCTATTGAGATAATCATGTGGTTTTTGTCTTTGGTTCTGTTTATATGCTGCATTACGTTT
Source organism: Homo sapiens (assembly GCF_000001405.40). Lineage (NCBI taxonomy): Eukaryota > Metazoa > Chordata > Mammalia > Primates > Hominidae > Homo > Homo sapiens. The sequence continues at coordinate 53,971,146 of NC_000010.11, read as the reverse complement.
ATTGATTTGCGTATGTTGAACCAGCCTTGCATCCCAGGGATGAGGCCCACTTGATTGTGGTGGATAAGCTTCTTGATGTGCTGCTGGATTTGGTTTTCCAGTATTTTGTTTAGGATTTTCACATTGATGTTCATCAGGGATATTGGTTTAAATTCTCTTTTTTTGTTGTGTCTCTGCCAGCTTTAGTATCAGGATGATGCTGACTTCATAAAATGAGTTAGGGAGGATTCCTTCTTTTTCTATTGACTGGAATAGCTTCAGAAGGAATAGTACCAGATCCACTTTGTACCTCTGGTAGAATTTGGCTGTGAATCCATCTGGTCCTGGACTTTTTTTGGTTGGTAGGCTATTAATTATTGCCTCAATTTCAGAGCCTGTTATTGGTCTATTCAGGGATTCAACTTCTTCCTAGTTTATTCTTGGGAGGGTGTATGTGTCCAGGAATTCATCCATTTCTTCTAGACTTTCTAGCTTATTTGCATAGAGGTGTTTATAGTATTCTCTGATGGTAGTTTGTATTTCTGTGGGCTCAGTGGTAATATCCCCTTTATCATTTTTTATTGTGTCTATTTGATTCTTCTCTCTTTTCTTCTTTATTAGCCTTGCTAGCAGTCTATCAATTTAGTTGATTTTTTAAAAAAAAACAGCTCCTGGATTCATTGATTTTTTGGAAGAGTTTTTTGTTTCTCTGTCTCCTTCAGTTCTGCTCTGAAGACCTGAAGGTGTTAAAGTCCCCCATTATTATTGTGTGGAAGTCTAAGTCTCTTTGTAGGTCTCCAAGGACTTGCTTTATGAATCTGGGTGCTCCTGTATTGGGTGCATATATATTTAGGATAGTTAGCTCTTCTTGTTGAATTGATCCCTTTACCATTATGTAATGGCCTTCTTTGTCTCTTCTGATCTTTGTTGGTTTAAAGTCTGTTTTATCAGAGACTAGGATTGCAACCCCTGCTATTTTTTTTTTGCTTTCCATTTGCTTGGTAGATCTTCATCCCTTTATTTTGAGCCTATGTGTATCGCTGCACATAAGATAGGTCTCTTGAATACAGCACACTGATGGGTCTTGACTCTTTATCCAGTTTGCCAGTCTGTGTCTTTTAATTGGAGCATTCAGCCCATTTACATTTAAGGTTAATATTGTTACGTGTGAATTTGATCCTGTCATTATGATCTTAGCTGGTTATTTTGCTCGTTAGTTGATGCAGTTTCTTCCTAGCATCAATGGTCTTTACAATTTGGCATGTTTTTGCAGTGGCTGGTACTGGTTGTTCCTTTCCATGTTTAGTGCTTCCTTTTAGGAGCTCTTGTAAGGCATGCCTGGTGGTGACAAAATATCTCAGCATTTGTTTGTCTGTAAAGGATTTTATTTCTCCTTCACTTATGAAGCTTAGTTTGGCTGGATATGAAATTCTGGGTTGAAAATTCTTTTCTTTAAGAATGTTGAATATTGTCCCCTGCTCTCTTCTGACTTGTACATTTTTTGCTTAGAGATCCACTTTTAGTCTGATGGGCTTCCCTTTGTGGGTAACCAGACCTTTCTCTCTGGCTGCCCTTAATATTTTTTCCTTCATTTCAACTTTGGTGAATCTGACAATCATGTGCCTTGGAGTTGCTCTTCTTGAGGAGTATCTTTGTGGCGTTCTCTGTATTTCCTGAATTTGAATGTTGGCCTGCCTTGTTAGGTTGGGGAAGTTCTCCTGGATAATATCCTGCAGAGTGTTTTCCAACTTGGTTCCATTCTCACTGTCACTTTCAGGTACACTAATCAGATGTAGATTTGGTCTTTTCACATAGTTCCATATTTCTTGGAGGCTTTGTTCATTTCTTTTTATTCTTTTTTCTCTAAACTTCTCTTCTTACTTCATTTCATTCATTTGATCTTCAATCACTGATACCCTTTCTTCCACTTGATCAAATCGGCTACTGAAGCTTGTGCATGCCTCAGATAGTTCTCGTGCCATGGTTTTCAGCTCCATCAGGTCATTTAAGGTCTTCTCTACACTGTTTATTCTAGTTAGCCATTTGTCTAATCTTTTTTCAAGGTTTTTAGCTTCTTTGTGGTGGGTTCAAACATCCTCCTTTAGCTCGGAGAAGTTTGTTATTACTGATGGTCTGAAGCCTTCTTCTCTCAACTCCTCAAAGTCATTCTCCATCCAGCTTTGTTCCATTGCTAGTGAGGAGCTGTGTTCCTTTGGAGGAGAAGAGGTGCTCTGATTTTTAGAATTTCAACTTTTCTGCTCTGGTTTCTCCCCATCTTTGTGGTTTTATCTACCTTTGGTCTTTGATGATGGTGATGTACAGATGGGGTTTTGGTGTGGATATCCTTTCTGTTTGTTAGTTTTCGTTCTAACAGTCAGGACCGTCAGCTGCTGGACTGTTGGAGTTGCTGGAGGTCCACTCCAGACCGTGTTTGCCTGGGTATCACTAGCGGAGGCTGCAGAACAGCAAACATTGCAGAATGGCAAATGTTGCTGCCTGATCCTTCCTCTGGAAGCTTCGTCTCAGAGTGGCGTCCGGCTATATGAGGTGTCAGTCGGCCTCTACTGGGATGTGTCTCCCAGTTAGGCTACTTGGGGGTCAGGGACCCACTTGAGGAGGCAGTCTGTCCGTTCTTAGATCTCAAACTCTGTGCTGGGGGAAGCACTACTCTCTTCAAAGCTGTCAGACAGGGATATTGAAGTCTGCAGAAGTTTCTGCTGCCTTTTGTTCAGCTCTGCCCTGCCCCCAGAGGTGGAGTCTACAGAGGCAGGCAGGCCTCCTTGAGCTGTGGTGGGCTCCACCCGGTTCGAGCTTCCTGTCCACTTTGTTTACCTACTCAAGCCTCAGCAATGGTGGATGCCCCTCCCCTAGCCTCACTGCTGCCTTGCAGTTCGATCTCAGACTGCTATGCTAGCAGTGAGTGAGGCTTCATGGGTGTGGGACCCTCTGAGCCAGGCGTGGGATATAATCTCCTGGTGGGCCGTTTGCTAAGACTGTTGGAAAAGCGCAGTATTAGAGTGGGAGTGTACCAATTTTCCAGGTACCATCTGTCATGGCTTCCCTTGTCTAGGAAAGGAAATTCCACAACCCCTTGTGCTTCCCAGGTGAGGCAATGCCCCACCCTGCTCCATGGGCTGCACCCACTGTCCAACAAGCCCCAGTGAGATGAACCCGGTACCTCAGTTGGAAATGCAGAAATCACCTGTCTTCTGCATCACTCACGCTGGGAGCTGTAGACTGGAGCTGTTCCTATTTGGCCATCTTGGAACCTCCTCCAAATATTGATTTACTTGTAAATAGATAGCTTTTATCATTATTCATGGTCCAAAAAATTCCTCTTGACATATATACAGCTATGCATAGAGAGATACGGTAGAATATACATACTATATTATCATGAATGAAGTAGAAATTAATATTTAAAATTTTCATATTGATTTTAAATGTTTTCTATAGTTTACTTTAAAAAATATGATTATTTGAAGTATTTAATTGAAAGAAACATTAACTTATTGGGTATATATAAAAGAGACTTCTGTCTATTCCTAATACAATTTAAAATAAAAGCAAATATTTGGAAATTTAATGTTTGTCTAGGCCAGGTGCAGTGGTTTACACCTGTAATCCTAATACTTTGGGAGGCCAAACTGAAAGGAACACTTGAGGCCAGGAGTTCTGGACCAACCTGGGCAACATAAAGAAATCCTTATCTCTACAAATAATTAAAAATAATTAGTTCAGCATGATGGCATGCACCTGTAGTTCCAGCTATGTATTAATCCATTCTCACATGGCTATAAAGAACTGTCCAAGACTGGGTAGTTAATAAAGGAAAGAGTTTTAGTTGACTCACAGTTCCAGAGGGATGGGGAGACTTCAGGAAACTTACAGTCATGGTGGAAGCGGAAGCAAACACATCCTTCTTCACATGGCAGCAGCAAGGAGGAGTGCCAAGCAAAAGGGGGAAAAGCCCTTTATAAAACCATCAGATTTCGTGAGAAGCCACTCATTGTCCCAAGAACAGCATGAGGGTAACTGCCCCCATGTTTAAGTTACCTCCCACCAGGTCCCTCCAACAGCATGTGGGGATTATGAGAACTGCAATTCAAGATGAAATTTGGGTGGAGACAAAGCCAAACCATATCAAGCCTCTTGGGAGGCTGAGGCAGAAAGATTGTGTGAGCTGCAGTGAGCTATAATCATGCCACTGCACATCAGCCTGGGTGACAACACAAGATCCTGTCTTTAAAATATATATACATATATATATGAATGATTATTTAAATATTTAATTGTCACATATATAATAATTAAAATATATAATTCATAAACTCATTTACTATATTATTTTAGTTTTTAAAACATAACTAATAAGGGTGAGTTTTATACATTAGAATACTTCGATCATATCTATTATATTTTAGTGGAATAAAGTATTAAAAGATACTTAATAAATGCTAATTCATAATTTTAAGTGATCAAGTTTATAACTTTTTTAGAGTACTTGAAATTCTGGGTTTCAAAATGACAATTTTTTCCAAGATTAAAGCCACAGCTATTTTTATAATTTCTTAAAACAATGAATTTGACTTGATTCATTTTGTAAATTTCCCAGAAATAATATTAGGAATTAGAGCTGTTTCCCAAAGCCTATTACCTTTACCTATTATATAGCTTATTTATGCAACTATTTTAAAAAGACTTTGGAAAGAAGTAAAGAAAGGAAAGGAGGGAGGAAGGGAAAGCAAAAAGAAGGGAAGAAGGGAAGGAAGATTTTAGGAAAGGACAGAGAGAGAAAAAAACTTTTAAATGTTTTGAGAGGAAAGTCTACATCATTTTAGTTATTTAGTATAGTTATCATAATATGTGATATAAAATAAAATGTGCTTTGATAACAAGGGTGATAAAAGAATCAAAATGTTTCTTGCAGGCTAAATGAGTCCTCTCAGGGCCACACTTTCATGATGGTGTGGTATATCTATAGAATAATTGCAATCTTAGAATAAAAAGTTTATTGATGTAGTCACTATGTAACATGTATGTTCATATTTGTATACATACAATCTTATCTGTAAAAATCATCTAGGAAGTTCTAAGATTTTCTGGATAGCAAACTATTTTAGTCATATGTTCATATTTATATACATACAATCTTATCTGTAAAAATCATCCAGGAAGTTCTAAGATGTTCTGGATAGCAAACTATTTTAGGCATCTGAGAGATAACATTCCATAATACCAGCATGTTTTCTTTTTCATTTTATCAATTACAGGCATAATTCCATATGCAAAAAAAAATTTTGGCTTTATTAAAAAGAAGATTCTAAGTATAATTAACTTATTTTATGTTTTTGAGAGCCAATCTGATTGTCATAAGTAATTTTAGTCACCGTCCTACAGACTGAATGGGTCCTCATGCTAGCAAAAACTCTAAAAATTTGTTCTTGAAGCAGTTGGTGCTATAATTATCCTCTTTCATCATTGACCTCCTGTTCTGGAGGTGACTTGAATTATGTGCTGCATAACCTCTTAGAAAGTGTTCTAAGGCGAGATTTACTAGGGTATCAAATTCTATAGTATCTTTGCCAAGCACTTTTGCTCAATTGTATTGCCACCTTATTTTCCTGGTAAAGGACTATTGCCTTTAAGATAGTACTGAAAAATGTTAAGTTGATTTGTTATTAAAAGACTTCGGTTTTAGTGTGAGCCAAGTTTGTTCAATTAATAACTTTGGCATTTTCCAGCTAAGAAAATTTCAGAAGATAATTCTTAAAGCCTAGATTTTATTATTTTAAAAATATAGGTAGTAGGGCTGGGCGCGGTGGCTTACGCCTGTAATCTCAGCCCTTTGGAAGGCAAAGGCGAGCGGATCATGAGGTCAGGAGTTTAAGACCTGGCTGGCCAACATAGTGAAACCCTATCTCTACTAAAAATAGAAAAAAATTAGCCGGGCATGGTGGCGGGCTCGTGTAGTCCCAGCTGCCTGAGAGGCTGAGGCAGGAGAATCACTTGAACCTGAGAGGCGGAGGTTGCAGTGAGCGGAGATCGTGCAACTGCACTCCAGCCCGGGTAAGAGTACAAGACTCTGTCTCAAAAAAAAAAAAAAATGTAGGTACTATTAATACCAACTTCTGAACTTATTGTAGGTATGAAAATGCATGTAATACATGCAGTCTGATACATAGTAAAATACTCAAACTGATAGCTAACAACTCTTGTTATTATCATTATTATTCAAATGCAAGCAAAGTTGCTGACATTGCATGACACTGTGCCCCAAGTCCTACGATGTCTTCTGCTAAACCCCCACTCTTTCACAAGCAAATCATATACAAGGTTTGCCATTGTATATGATTATAATAAGTCTGATTCTGTCCATATAGGCCAAAGTTTTTCTAAAAAAATGTGTCCTTGTTTCTATAAATCTTCAGTGGGTGAACTGACCATCCACCACTAGGTGAAATCAGTGGTTTATATAAAAATATTATCCCAGAACTGGCAGTTCCCTAACATGCTTTCAAGGTTTATTCAATGTTCTCTATTTCCCAAACCTTCAAATATATGAATACTTTAGATATCAGTTGAAGTGTCTGGGCACCCTTGATGTGTGGTTATCCATTCACTTATTTATGCAAATAAATTTTTTATAAATAAAATTTATAAATAAAATTTTTATAAATAATTTTTAAATAAATTTATAAAAATTTTATGAATAAATAAAATTTTATAAAAATTTTATGAATAAATAAAATTTATAAAAATTTTATGAATAAATAAAATTTATAAATAAATTTTTTTATAAATAAAAAATTATTTATTCAAATACTCCTTGAGTACATATTATGGGTCAGGTAACATTCAAGGTACTCAGCTACAGTCCCTACCCTAATAAAGCTTGTATTCTTATGTGGGAGACAAACAGTAAACAAGTAAATACATAAAATATATGCTATAATTTCAGACAGGGTTGCTGAAGAAAGATAATTTAAAGGGAGTATTAGAGAACGCCTGGAGAAGAGGAAGGTAAATTTATTAGCCAAAAATCTGAGAGATGAGTGTATTATATTGCCACCTTATTTTCCTGGTAAAGGACTATTGCCTTGGCAAAGCCAAGGAGGCAGGAACAAGGAAAATGTGTGAAAGGGAAATGAACAAGATGAAATCAGATGAGTAGGCAAAAAAGAAATGTTTTTAGGATCAGATTGCCCTTACTAACAACTTTGTATTTATTTTTTTTGTGTGTGATGCAAAATCATTGGAAGGGTTTAAGCAGGAGTCATGAGATAATTTTAATACAATGGAAGCAGAAAGTCAATTAAGAGTCTACTACAGAAAACACAGAGGATATGAGAAGACATTAGGGCCTATACTCATTGAGGTATTGGCAGGATGTGATGATGATTTGGCTATGGGGCTTAAGAGAAAGGATCAATGATTACCCCTAGGCTTTCAGATAGAACACCTTAGTAAAAGGTAGAGCCATTATCTATAGTAGAAGAGTTATAAATTTGGGAGATGAAATCATTCTGGTTTTGAATACATTTATTTGAAAATAGCATATCTGTGGACAATTATGTGTACTAGTTTGGACTTAAAATGTTCAGAGTTTAGCCAGATATTAAAATTTGATATTTATGAACAAATAGAAGATATTTGAAGCTATCAGACTGGGAGAGGTTCCAGGGGCCGAGAGTAGAAGTAGAAAATGTAGAAGTTCTTGAAACAGAGCCTTGGAAAACTCCAACATTTAGTAGCCAGAAAGAGTGGGAACAAGCAGAGTCTGAGACAGAGCACCAGATGGGAAGGAGAAAAGGCAGAATAGTGGAAAAAGGTTAAATAAAGAATGTATTCAAGGAGACAGTCATCAGTGGTGACGTGTAGTATATGAAAGGACTGAACTAACAGAAAATAGGGAATTATACAAATCCTGAAAACTCATATTTATCTCATAGCCCAACTGTAATTCAGGAACCAACATGAGCAACAGATTATTTTCAAGGACAGTCTTGAAGAAAATGGAAATATAAAAAGCAATGTTCTCAGAACAGTTTTTACACCAAAGTGTCAAGTCCAGCCAAATCAACACCCTGTGGGGGGTAATGTTCTTACTTCTTCTTCATCAGAATAATGCCAAATAGGAGTGTTTCTTTCTCTGAAGAAGTTAATGTTGTAATTTAGTGTTTAGGTTTGAAGTAAAACTTTACCACATACTAGTTCTCTGCTCAAGATATTTATTTGACTTCTAGGTTTTAAGAAATTTACAAGGCCTAAGCACTGTAAATGTTACAGTGCTCACCTCAATGTCACCCTACATAGTTCCAAAGGAAACCAATCTGAAACCTAATATAAGTGAGGACAGCCAGCAAAATTTTGACTGTTCCTTTACAATCACTTTGATTCTTTTAAAAACTTATCAAATTTTAATTGTTTTCTTTAAAAGTGACTTTGTTTGGTGTCCCAACTTATCTTGGCCTATCTCTGGAATATTTCAGCACTCTTTAACTTATTGTAAGCCACAAGTTCCTTAGCTCTAAAATGGGTAACAGAGTACACATACATCATCTTTAATGTGGTTCCGGCAAGTGGTAAGCATCTAGCAATTGTTAGCGTCATTAACTTACCATTATTACTATCATCTTCATTATTAATGTCATCTTAAAAGATTGAGCATTAACCTAATGATGTATAGAAATACCTAGCATGGTAATCAACACAGTGTAGATGGTAAATAATTTTTGTTTTTTTAGCTTTCATGTCCATTCCTGCACTTTACTACAGTCCTCTCAAATTAGCCAAGCATGGTTGCACACACCTGTATTCCCAGCTACTTGGGAGGCTAAAGTGGGATAGGAACACTTGAAACCAGAAGTTTTGAGGTTATGGGGAACTATGGTGATGCCACTGCACTCCAGCCTGGGCAACAAAGGAAGACCCTGTCTCTGAATTTAAAAAAGGAGATATTGGGTGTTTTGGGAGGAAGATGTAATTCACATAATTAAAGGAAAGTGGTAGAGAAGATGCCCAAAGCAACCATTAATTTTTCTCTCATATAAATCATTTTAAAATAACCTGTAGTAGAGATACTTCATTGATTCAGATTGAGTTATCATGAAGAAATAATGATCTGGCTACATTTCAGCTCTGAAAGAATGAAAATATGGAAATATGATTTTCACTTCTAAAAGACCATGAATTTTAAAGATCCATTTAATATTATCATTGCACTGTGTTTTAACTTGGTAACAGCAAATTAATAATTAATAATTTTATTTTAGGGATTACCTGCAAGTCGTGTGAGGTATAGAGTAGATGATGTACAGTTTCCTTACCCTGCCAGTATTTTTGAAGTGGAAGAAGATTCTGGAAGAGTAATAACACGAGTCAATCTTAATGAAGAACCTACAACAATTTTTAAGGTCAGTGTCTCTTTTCATTATGTGGTCTATTTGATGTTTAATTTTTGATAGAGAATTTGGCTTAACAGATGACAGCACATTTTTTTCTTTCAATTTTTCTCCTTTTTAATTTTTTTAAATTACAATTTTTTTTTCTCTTAGAAACTTACAAAAATAGTAAAAAGAAAACCACTTGGTATCTCACATCTTGGAAATAGCTAGAATTTGCGTTTTGATCTCTATCCTCATGATGACATTTCATACAAACACAAATATATAAATATATGTTTTCAAATCACATAGTCTTATACATACTGGTTTTTAAATTCAATATGATGTTGTCTATGCCAATAAGTGACATTAATACTATTATTTTAGTGGTTTCATAGTATTTTACTATATAACATTTTGTTTTTCTTTTTAATATAATACTGAGTTGCTTTATAATTAGACTTTCCATTTTTTGTTACAATAAATGCTATCATGCAACTACTTGTATGAATATCATTTTTCCCTTACTCACTTTTTTAAGATAAGATTGATATATTACAATCCTAGAAAATTTGAAAAAAATACCCCTTGTATGCATTCTTCATCTTTCCTGAGAGTATCCATTTTCCTAATACCACTCAATACTGATTGTTGTTATGTTAATCTTTGCATATATCTAGGAAAATATCTGTATCTATTTGATTTTTTGTCAAATTTTACTTTTCTTCAAATACTAATGAAACAGAACATATTCCCTCTTTTGTTTTTTACATATTTAAAAATATATTTGACAAAATAATGCCTGTCTCTACCTGGCAAGGTATTAAAACAATAATTTGCATTACCATAAGTAGACAATTTTATTAAGTGTTTGAACATTTCCATTTTTAATAGTTACTTAGAATAATTTTTGTCACTGTGAATAAAGTCTTTGACTCTACAGTAGGGAAATAGCTTTATCAGTTAACCACGTAAGGATCAGTGAGCACTATGTCTCTCATGATTTTACCGCTGTTTGGAACAGCTGATCAGTTTGTAAATTAGCATTAACCCAAAGGTCAATTGTGGCTCTCAGGATGATCCTTGGTTACAGTCTTCTGTGATCTAGGTTGAATTAGTTTACATTGTTAACCTGCAGCTTCCAAAACAATTTATATTCCAAAGAAGCACATAGTTCTGAAAGTATTTAACATGTCTTAAAGTAAACATAGAATTACTTTGATGTAATGTAGGTTATTAAAGAAAATAATCAATTATAAATCCTATTGCAGTGATAAATAATGTCAGACATCACATCTCAACACTAAAGCTTTTTCTTAGTTTTCATCATTTGAACAATTTCTGCTATACCAAATGAACTTGGCCTTATAATTTGTTTTTAAGAGATAGTATACCAAAGAGTGTTAAACTATAAAGATTTCCAATTTTATCCTCTAGAGTAAAGTATTTCTGCCCTATAATCTCAAAAACAACTAATTCACTAGGAAAATTAATTTCTTTTTTGAGCAAGATAATTAGCTTTTTATGTGTCTGAATTTAACACTTCTTAAATAAGTGTATTGGTGCTATAAAATCATGTGTATTTACTGTGGGCTTCAGTGGAATTATAGAAATGAGTCTTTAATTGGAGAGATATAGTATAATACACTTGTTTTACTGGTAGTTGTTTTTTAATCATAGAGTTAGTTACTTCTTTGAGTATTCTCATCTAGCAAGTGAAAATAATAACATTTATCTGGCTGGATTATTGTAAAGATTAAGTGAGAACGTAGTATTTTCTAGCATAGTGTCTGCCACCTGGTAGGCAGTGAGGAAATGATCATTGCTTCCCCTTCTGGAACCAGGCAATCCAATAAGTAAAAACATACATATAAAAATTGTGCTGTTACGCTGTTCTTACTTATAATCTTTAACATGAATTTTTATTGCTTTTTAAGTTGGTGGTGGTTGCTTTTGATGATGGGGAGCCTGTGATGTCCAGCAGTGCCACAGTGAAGATTCTTGTCTTACATCCTGGTGAGATCCCACGCTTCACACAGGAGGAATATAGGTATTGATTTCTGTCCGATTTTGAAATACACGAAATGTTTAGGGCATTTTTGAAAGGAGTCTCTCAAAATTGATGTAATATGAATTTATGAGTAGACTTCCAATTTTGGTTTAGGCGTTTCTAAATTAACATAAAATATAGTTTAAATTTTTAAATGGTTAATATGACAATTTAGTATAAAATATGTTTTAGTAATGGTTTAATGAATAATGGATACTTTTTAAAAAATTAGTGCAAACTTATTAAAATACAACATTATATTTTGGGGTTTCAATTCTAATTAATGATCTGAATGGTGAGAAATAGATCTTTAGTTTCTCATTATTGCCAGGTGGAACATTTCATTCAATTTCCAATTTTGGCATGCAATCTGCAATCATATTTTCCATCTAATCAGTGTGTATGTGTGTATGTGTGTACGTTTGTGTGTGTAAATATGTAGTGCATGTGTATATATATAGTGTGTATATATATATATAAATGTAGTGTGTGTATTTATATATACTGTGTGTATACATAAATTTATATATATACTGTGTGTATATATATATACACACTATATATACACATATATAATACATATACATTTATATATATACACTATATGCATATACACCAATATTATATATTATAGTTTATGGTTAGTATATATACTGTTTTAGTCAACTGAGGCAGCCATAACAAAATACCATAAATTGGGTGGCTTAAACGACAGAAAATTCTGTTCTTTTTTTTTTTTTTTTTTTTTTTTTTGAGATGGAGTCTTGCTCTGTTGCCCAGGCTGGAGTGCAGTGACGTAATCTCGGGTCACTACAAGCTCCACCTCCTGGGTTTGCACCATTCTCCTGCCTCAGCCTCCCGAGTAGCTGGGACTACAGGTGCCCACCACCATGCCTGGCTAATTTTTTGTATTTTCAGTAGAGGTGGGGTTTCACTGCATTAGCCAGGATGGTCTCGATCTCTGACCTCCTGATCCACCTGCCTCAGCCTCCCAAAGTGCTGGGATTACAGGCGTGAGGCACTGTGCCCGGCCACAACAGAAAGTTATTTTCTTATTGTTCTGGTAGCTGACAATCCAAGTTTAAGACCAGGGTGTCTGCATGGTCAGGTTCAGGGTCTCTTCTGGTCTTAATAGGCAGCTGCCTTTTTGCCATGTCCTTATCTGGAGAGAGAGAGAGAAAGCAAGCTCTCTGGTATCTCTGGAAACAAATAACTATATGAAAAATATAATACACTGTGAGAACACAATGGTAGAAATAAGATCACAGTATTGAGGAAGCAGGCTAAGGGACACTTAACTATATTTGAACATGATTAACACAGTTTTAAGTTGTAGATTGAAGGAAATGTAGAGTTTAGTCAATCCAAAAAGATATAGATGGATATTCCACACCAAATATTCAGCCTATGCAGAAATATAAATAAGGGGTGTGGGAGTCTACATTAAATTCCAGAATATTTTAGTAGTTTAGTCTATCCAAAGAAAAATTGAAAGTTGGATGATGATAATAATTGAGGATAATGAAAAATGAATATTTCAGGTAATGGAGAACTTGATCATGTTCTAGGATGACTTTAGTGTTTTTTACTTTCTTAGAATGAATTAATAATTTTAAGCTAGAACAGCAGCTAAGGTACTGAGGAATAAGGTAGGTGAGGGATACATCTGCAAGCACTTAACCCACTGAACCAAGCAGTTTCATCCTCTCATACAAAGCTGCGTTTAGAAGAATCTACACAAAATTAAATTATGTAATATAATTACCAGAAAATCTTCCATAGCATGTATGTAAATCATCGAGATGTAAACCATATGTAAAACAAATAAGAATTCTTGTTTAATCTGTTTTAAAAGGTTATTCTCACCCACATGTACATTATTATCTATTATTTTCCTTTTTTTTCTGACACAGTAACCTGTGCTTCCAATCCTTTGGATTGGATTCCAATTCTTTGCTATGGAATACAGTAGTCCCCTCCTTATCCACAGTATCATTTTTCACAGTTTGTTGCCCGAGGTCAACCGTGGTCAGAAAATATTAAGTGGAAAATTCCAGAAATAAACAATTCGTAAGTTTTAAATTGTATGGCATTCTGAGTATCATGATGAAATCTTGTGCTGTCCTGTGTCACTCTGCCCTGGAGCTGAATCATTCCTTTGTCCATTGTATCCAGGCTGCCCATCAGTCACTTAGTAACTGTCTGGGTTATCAGGAAAAAAAAAAAAACATAGTAAATATAGGCTTTGGTGTCATCTGAAGTTCCAGGCTTCTAGTGGAGGTCTTGGAGTATATCCCCCATAAATAAAGGGGGACTCCTATGCACAGTTTTCTGTTTTGGAAGAACTTCTCTGAACATGTTAATTTTGGAGTTCTCAAGAACAGGACGGATATAAACTCACTTTGTTTCTCACTAAATTATCTAGATCAGGTGTTCTCAAAAAATATACTTAGTCTTCTAAGTGGATCCAAAAAAACGCTCACAGTTTTAACTTAAAATTCCCATCTGTGTTCTTCAAAGCCCCTTGCGGCAAGTCTAATTATCTTTGGAAACTCCAAGAGAAGAAAGTGATATATTGCTTAAACTTCCTCTTTAAATAAACTTAAGTGGTGTACTGTTTCTCTAGGTTTTCATTTAGAGCTCATTTCCTTGTCAATAGAAATATGCCTCTAGACTTCTCTTTTAGCTAAAATATTGTGGCATTGAGGCCAAGGTCATAAATTGAAACAGGGCATTGCTCATTTAACTTTCTTTATTAAGTATCTTTGCTTAATGCCATGTTTTAAAAATGCGAATGTGTTGTTCAACGTATAATTTACCATTTCATACCGTCTCTGCATAGAACTATTAACTACAAATAGATTCTCTTAATAAAGTTGTTGTTAACTTAGAGAGCAAAAGTTAGCCAATTATATGGTACTAAAATTAACAACAGTCACATGGGTACATGTGGGAGAATTTTGATCTTCCAGAATTCTAACAATTACAAAATTGCCCTTGATTATCCCAGTTCATTTGTTATTCTGAGTTATAAAGAGAATTTGGTAATCTTGTTGCATCCTACTGTGTATTAATAATATACACAACTGTACACACATAACTCCCAGAGATGCTAAGAATCAGTATCTTGATCATAATGCATTTAGTAGTACTTGAGTACTTAAAAGGATTAATTTTTTATCAAATAACCAGAAAATTTGAAAAATAAATGTTATGCCAAATATGAACAAGGACACTACTTTTTGGATAAATGCAAATAATTGAATATAAATGTTTATATAGGTCTAAATTTGAACCAAAATTTTAACTGAACTATAAAGAAACTTAAGGCTAATGATTATCATCTTCAATTATCTCTTCATTCTTTTTGAAGACCATTGAGGAAATACATAGCAGTATCTGGATGCCTCCTAAATCCTTTTTCTCACGGGCATATAGCTGGATTACATTTCCTCTCCTTATTAACTAGGGATGAATTCTGAATTCTGCCGTTTGACTGATTTCTGGCCAAAAAAATATGGAACTAAGTGGTCTGCATCATTTCCTGAGCAGGCTTAGTCCTATTAGCTACTGTTGTTTCAACTAATATAAGTTGTTCAACATTTTATTAGTTTCCAACAACTAATCGCATAATTAATTAATCATATTTAAAAGTCATTCTCATTCATATTGCAAAATATGAATATATGGAAATATGAAAATATTCATGGTAGAATATTTTTATTTCTGTATGGTATTTTCTTTTAATATGTTCAATTGCTAGCTTTGGCAATATGCCTATGCCATTTCAGGCTGCTTTAGAGGCCAACACACTTTCCTTTCTTAATGAAAAAAAGTGAAGCACAGAATGGTTTCTGCCAACCTCATATGCCTCATTCTTCTCTAATTTTTTCAAATTCATTTTACTGCCTCAACTGGATGCACATTATTCCCAGAGATGCTAAATGACATTATTAATTTTTGATTATTAGGATGGTCTTTCGTGTTGGGATTGCTCCTAGTGAAAAAACTTCTACTTCTTGTGATCAAATTTGGGGGAAATATAAAAATGATAGCTCAAGATTTATGTTCTTTGTAGGGTGTAGGGGAAGGTAATGTGTTACAAATGGAAAGCAGTAATCTAGCACTGTAAGCTGAGGTACACATGGCTTTTACATCTCAGGAATGTCTTCGTTCCAATACTTGTGTTTGAATTCCATAGGAAAAATTAGCATTTAACAAATGATTAGGTATAAAAGAGAGATTTTAAAGATAAAGTATTTATTTATCGTAGAATGTTTAACTGAATTATTGACCCATACGTCCCCGTTCTGTCACTGACTCCGTTGACTTATTTCTATTAGACAGTCATTAAATCATTAAATCTCAGGGTAATCAGACTGAGTTAGGGTAGTTTAGGTCACTGTAATAGGAAACCACCAAATATCAATGGTTTAAAGTTCAGGGACCTGGGACAACTCAGGGGTCACCATCTTCAACACTCTATTTCAAAATAACTCATTATTACCATTTTAGTCAGCAGAAAGGGGAAACCAGACAGAAGTCCACATCTAGAGATTTCCTTAACCAAGTGAGGTGAGAATTGCACATTTCAGTTCAGCTCACATTACGTTGTGAGAATCCAGGTACGGGTCTACATTTAGCTCTAACTAGGGGAGAGGAATGCTGTTCCTTGCTAGGCAACTGTGTCCTAGTTCAACCTCAGTTGTTGAGGAAAAAGGGGAAATGGTGTAGGTGAAGACCTAGCACATTAAACATGTGATTGTAAACAATTTACAGATTCATAGATTTTAATTGCCACAGTGATTTTAAAATGACTGATTAGTTAGAATGCACCATGGGGTACATGAGCTAATGATAGAATAGAAACATTTTTACATTTAAATATGCGTTAGTGAAGTAAATTGTTCTTAAAATATCAAGAGAATGAATATTTATTTTCTTAATTCAAAGCAAATCTCAGATTAACATTTCTGGTTGTTTTAAAAATCTGTATTTTTAGTGATTTCAGTTTAATGAGTATTAACATTACATATTCCAAGCCAAACCTTTCTGGACTTCAAGCTAAAGGTTGAATATTTTATACAATGAATTACTTTCTCCAGTTTTCTGAGAAGTTGCAGTGTCTTGGTCACAGAAGTAAAATATAAAGAAAATAAAAATGAAAGCATAATGGCAAAGTGTAAATTTGAGTTATGAGCTGAAAACTAGCATTGTGAAGACCTTGATCAAAAATGGTTCAGAGTTCGCATTTACTATTTGGCATACGTTTTTCAGTATACCAGTTCTAGCTAGACAGAGAAACAAAATCCATTGTTCTTTTTTTAGAATTGAAAGCACTTCTATGTTGTTCTATTGGTAATTGATTAGTTGCTGGAATATAACAATAGACCTATCATTGTCTTCTTCCAAAATTGTAAAATAGCAAAATAATAGACACAAGTAATAAACACCACAGTAAGTACTTTAATATTTACTAAAGGAAAAACCTACTGGTTTGCCTGTGAAGTTTTGATGACAGATAATTAGTAGGCTTTCTGACTTATGTAAAAGTAACAACATAATAAAAAACCAGCCCCTTCTTCCACATAGTTAATCATGCTCTGCCTCTGTTTCATTTGCATATTTAAAAACTTCTTTACAGCCGGGCGCAGTTGCTCACACCTGTAATCCCAGCACTTTGGGAGGCCTAGATGGGCGGATCACGAGGTCAGGAGATTGAGACCATCCTGGCTAACACGGTGAAACCCTGTCTCTACTAAAAATACAAAAAAATTAGCCAGGCATGGTGGCGGGTGCCCATAGTCCCAGCTACTCATGAGGCTGAGGCAGAAGAATGGCATGAACCCAAGAGGCTGAGCTTGCAGTGAGCTGAGATTGCGCCACTGCACTCCAGCCTGGGTGACAGAGCAAGACTTCGTCTCAGAACAAAACAAAACAAAACAAAACAGAACAAAAAAATTACTTCTTTACTTTCTGCTAATGCTCCCTTAATGAAGTTTGAAAATTATTGAAGAATTTTACAAAGACAACCCTATACTCAATAAAATAAATTAGGTTGTCATTATTTAAAAACACATTTCTCAAGGAAAATGATGTTTTTCTGGTTTATAATTTATAATATTAAGATATTTTATATGTATTGGGAAAAGATTTGATTTTTTTTTTCAAATCCTGTGAACTGATGTTATTTCCTGGTGGCTGGCTTTCAATAATCATTAAGGGTAGGAGTAATCACATAATGGCAAGAAAATTGCCTCATATGTTTACTTTTATAATGGCCAGAGTTATAGTAGATAAGAATTACTATACACTTGATTCTCTTTGCTTTGTAGGGCTGTTATAGTAATTGAAACAGACTCATTTTGTTAATTTCTTGACCTTTTCACATCAATCTTTTATGGAGTCACTTAGGTGAAATGGAGGATCAAGACATTGTGTGCTTCATTTGTCATTAATGATCAATTGTTCTATCCAGAAAACAATGAGTTCTTCTTAAAACTTTTGAAATATATATCTCTTCATACTGTATACTATTCCTTTTGATGACAACAGCGACCTGTCTGGAGCATTTGCTGCAAAGACGCTGGCTGCAACCAGGGAAACACAGCTGGGGCTATGCACTCTGCAGAGTCAGTGAGAGCTGAGAACAGGCAGGGGCCCCACCCACTTCTGAGTTGGAGGGGCTGGAGCCCAGAGCTCTCAGGTGCAGGTGCAATCACCCAGCTGAGACTGTGGACCTGGGCCCCCCTCCTGCTGCATGCTCAAAGTGTGTTCTCCCAATGCCTGGCCTCTCCCTGCTTCCAGGGCCTGCTCCAATTTCAGAGCAAAGCTGTCATCAAGCCCCGAGCATTGTCACCACCTGGCTGTGTGTTCCCACACTCATGTGGTGCTGACATACCAGCCCCTTGCCACCTCAGCCCACTCTGGACTTTGGGCACCAATGAGCATGGGAGAGAAGCCAAGGTGGGGCTGGGGGTGGCCTGGAGCGGGCCTGCAGGAACCTCTTGGGCACAAACAGCCTGGGTGCCATGAATGGCAGCAGAAGGCAGACAGGCTCCTGGGTGGAAAGGGATGGGTCTGGTGAAACCCCACCTTCTAGCCAAGGATTGCCTGAAGGCTGGTGCCCAGCCTGCCAGTTCCCTGGACTGGAGTGAGAACTTATGGTGCTTTCTCCAGGCTGCCTATGGCTGCCCATGGCTGCCCATGGACCAATCAGCAATATCACTTTCTCCCTTCTGAAGCCCATAAAAACCCCAGTCTCAACCAGACTCAGGCAGACATCAGGACAACCTGCTTGAGGATAGGAGCTACCCACTCTGGGTCTCCTCGCCACTGAGGGCTGCAGACATCGGGACAGCCTGCCTGCATATAGGAGCTGCCTATTTCAGGTCTCCTGAGAGATGTACTGTTGCTCAATGAAGCACCTCTTTGCCTTGCTCACCCTTCAGATGGCTATATACCTAATTCTTCCTAGATGTGGGACAAGAACTTGGGACCTGCTGAATGGCAGGACTGAAAGAGCAGTAATACCAGCAGGGCTGAAACATGCCTCCCCGCTTGCCACATTGTGGGCAATGAGAAGGAGAGAAGAGAAGCGAAGTGGCCCTTCAGGGATCCCAGACCTAGGAGCTCCCTGAGCCAGGGCTATGACACCGTCTTTGGGACTCTGGTTTCTGTTGTCTCCAATCTACTGGGTGCCACCACGTTCTCCTCATCCAGACATGGGTGCCTTCAGTGGAATCTGCTTGCAGTGCACCAGATCCAGCCACTGGCTTGTATGGAGCTGGCATCTGTGCTGGCACCTGGGGCCACCCTTCCCACCACAGCAGCCAGCGTGCCTGGCTGTGCACAGTGGTGGACCCCACACTCACTCTCATCCCCACCTTGCTGCTCTGCACCTGGCTCACCCTTGGCAGGCATGGGATCTGGGCCGGTAGAAGAAGCCAAGTGAAGCCTGCCAGGCTGAGTGGGTGAAACAAGCCCAGTAGGCCTGAAAAAAATTCATGTAAAGGTGCCACCAGCCACAGAGGCTTCCTACTGGAAAAGCAACATCCCAAGGATCCTGTGACATTTTCTACAACTGTAAACAAACGTTTGTATATTTTAGAAGCATACACACGACCAAAAATCTCAAATTGTAACAAATCTTCCACATGCATTGTTTCTCTTTTATTTGGTTCCTTCAGTTTCTATTTTTGACAAAGATATAACAATGATATTAGTGTCTTAGAATTTGCATGCCCCATGTGATCATTCTTCCTTCTTGCTCTACTATCTTTCCTTGAACAAAGAGCTAAACAAAGAGTTCTTAAAAAGCTAATGGCATTTCTTCATTCTTTATTGTTGAAACATCCTCCACCTCTCTTTCTCAAAATTATCTCCAACTAGCTTCATTTTTTGGTGGGGGTGGGAGGGAAATGAATTAAGTCCGGGTAATATCCCTATTACACAGAAATATTCCAATTATAAACTTTGATTTTTTAACCATTCAAGTGATTAGGTAGTTTCTTCATATCTATTTACAATTGCATATCTTTGTTTAAATCATTTTCTACAATTTGTTTTTCATTAGAAATTGAGAAAAATGTGTTAATCTTATTCATAAAAATTCTTTTCTCAAATTCACATTATGCAATGAATGAAATAGACTATAGAGATCATTTAGTTGGCCTAATAATCATTTCAATACTTGACTCCTTAAGCAGCCCTTAGGAACTATGTCCTTCATACAAACATAAACAGATTTCAGTCCACAGTAACTGGGACCTTGACCAATTGTGCTTCCTGTAGTTGAAGATCTGAGAGGCATACTCTCATTGTCACTGCATGTTCATATTTACTAAGAGATTTTCGGTCAATTATCTCTTTATATATTTTAGAAATTAGTTACAATGTCAGAGTCATTAAATTCCTTTTATATATCTTTCATTTAAACCCTACAGAAATAGCAAAATCCTAATAGTAGTTCAAACACATACTACTTGAGATTACATTGACTCCCATAGGTGAAGTAAGTTAGCCTTCTGAAGAATGAGAATGACATTTGACCTTCATTTCAGGATGATGGACTAAGACTTATACACACTGAAATTCACTTGTCATCAGTTTTAAAAGTAAATATCATGAAAAGGTCAACACGTCTGGAATAGATCATAGAGTCTAAATGTGAATATTGATTTTGAGTGGGAAATGCATTATATTACACAATTTATCAAAAAATTTGCCAAATACAATTAATTGCAAAATTTTCAAAGATATATGCCACCTATATAGGTAGGCCTTTGTTTTTTATTTAAAAATGGAAATGTATCAACTTGAATATTAACCATTGCATGATTTAGTGTCACATTCATGTTAATTTTTAAGATTTGTATATTTGCAAGTGTAATTTCCATAACAACCTAAATTCAAAATTTATACTGGTATATATATAATAAAATAAGGGCAAATATCCCTAAGTTATATTTGTTAACCTCTTAAGTTGATATATTGCTAAACTCAGAGAATATACTATAAGTCCTTTTCAATTTCTATTATTATTAAAATTTAATATATCAAATTCAAAATCAGAATATTATACATGTGAACATTCTGAAATTTTGAAAAACTTTAACTCTTCTTCAAAAGATAATCTTACCACTTTCTCTGTTAA
Organism: Homo sapiens; assembly: GCF_000001405.40. Classification (NCBI taxonomy): domain Eukaryota; kingdom Metazoa; phylum Chordata; class Mammalia; order Primates; family Hominidae; genus Homo; species Homo sapiens. The sequence continues at coordinate 53,950,076 of NC_000010.11, read as the reverse complement.
AATAAAAAATTGCTAGTTGGTTGATTCATACGAATTAGTTTTGTAATAAATGACAGGTTGAAAGTTTTACACAATTTATACTTAAAATAAGTTTCTCAAGAAGCTTTATATTAAAGAATAAAATTAGAGTATATTTAACAAAGGATTAGCATTATACCTCTTGATATACAAAACAGAAAAAGTATAATTTATAATCAAGGCATTCATTTTTGTAAACTATGAAAATGCAAGTAATATTATCACAGTGGCCAAAGAAATAGCAAGTGAGCAGGTCTAGTTAACATTTCATTATTAAAGAGAATTAAAATTACCTTATGTTGAGGAACATAGCCATCATTTTTTTTTTCTTTTTAGAGACAAGATCTCATTCTGTCTTCCAGGCTGTGGTGCAATGGCTCGGTCATAGCTCACTGCAAGCAATCTTCCATCTCAGCCCTCAGCCTCCTAAGTAGCTGCGACTTTAGGTGCATGCCACCATGCCCAGCTAATTTTTTTTTTAATTATTTTGTAGTGACAGTGTCTTGCTATATTGCCCAGGCTATCATTCTTATAAAACCTTCCAAGTTTGGACTTACAGATTTTGAGAAAAGATTTTAATAAGATGAACAATAGTTTGGAAAGAATGATTTGTCTTGATTGCAAATAAGTTAATGAAAGCTGTCTGAAGACTATTAAAATAATGTAAAACAAATGCATATGCAGAGAGCATAACTCGATTGCTAAAATTGTTTTCTATTTTAATTTAGATTTGTTGTCCAATGTAAGAGCTGGCTTTACCTGAAGATAGCCTTTCCTGTCTTTTTATGGCACTATTAAAACCTTGCCTCAAACATAATAGGTTTCGCCCATTTAACTATTGACAAAATGATTCTGACAATCTTTCATTACAGTTTTGATAGGTTCCCTGTGCACCTACATGGAATTTAATTTCTCTTTCACATTTCCAAGGTTATACACATTTTGGCATTTGCTCATGTAGCAGAGTGAAGCAAGTCTTCCTTCAACAAAGGACTCAAGTCCAAACAGTTCAACTTACATCCACTGTTTAGAATTTAGCACAAACTTTTCAATACAAAGAGTGATTTTATACGTCCCATTATTTCATTGTATTGTATCTATGGGAAATTTTGATCCAAGTAAAACATACAGTAGGATACATTAATTTTATTTTATTAGTAATCAATGCAAACATATTTGAGACAAAATAGCATACTAAATGGAGTCCTATGGTGATGAGTCTGGAGAAGTAGGGAGAGTTGGACTGTGAAGGGACTTACTGAGTCATACTAAAAACTTTGTTCATTATCACAGAGAAATTTGAAGACATTGAATGGTGTTAAACAGGCAAATGACATATGCATATCCTCTTAATGGAAGTCACTTTGTGCTTCCACAATCTCCATGGAAAGTAGAATTTTATACTATTTAAATCTTGATTCAAAATCATCACATTTTTATCACCAATTTATAATGGATAAGTCATTCATTTCCCAACTCCTCCGGTGCTTAATAGCTGTGCCATTTACTTAATCTTCTAAGAATGCTTTTTACCTCTGGTAAACTTTTCACACATGATTTTATGCCATTAAGTAATGTACTTAAACCAAAATCACATGCACAAAAATAGAGTGAACAGAAAATGTATATCTGGCAATTACAAACAAGGGAAAGCAGAAATTACTATATTAATGTCAAATAATGTATAATTCAAAACAGAATTCTGATTACCTGTACACTCGGTCTCACTAAAAAAAAATTGTAAATTTTCAAGCGAGAGGAATAAATTTGCTACTTTAATATATCCATATAGTTTCCAGCATAGGTAAGACCATATAATTTATTGTCCAAAGCAGGGCACTTTTGAGAGTGAGAAGGGCCCTCTATAATAATTAAGGTAGGGCAGTAGACAAACAGGGATGGGTTTATCAGGACCTAACCCCGTTGTAAGTCCAGGAGCATACTGAATGTATATTACTTTCATACCCATAGTAAAGTAAAAAACCGAAAGTCAAACCATCATAAATCAGGGATCTTCTGTACTTTAGTAAGTTTAAAAAATTTCTCCAGCGCATTCTTATGGATTTAAGCTTTAAGAGCCAATGACTATGAGAGATTAGAACACACTATTTTAATGAGAACAATATAATAATTTAAGCAAAGGAAAAACCAAACACCTTAGATTGCAGTTTTTGCTTTCAAATATTTGGATAAATTGTTTATACTTCAGTTTTTGTATCCTCCAGATGAAGATTCTTTAAGGAACTGAATAGAAGCAAAACTCTTAGTGACAGAAAGCACGCATTCTTTGGAACATACGTAAAAAGCAGTGTCTAGTCTTTTGGCCCTTCATTAATTTTCTTATCTAAAATCCATCCTAAGTATTCTGGAAGAACTAGCATCTCTCTCCTGATTCATGTCTTTTTTAAACTGTTTTTCTTATTTAAATATGTAAAATTAGATCACTCTGATGCAATTACTCCAAGATTATAAATAATCGGAGTTCTAGTGGGTGTTTTTTTTTTATTCTTCCCTTCCCATTTTTATTAAATCCTCTCATAGTAGGTAGAAAAACAGTATCTTAATTGGTACTGATTTGCAAATATATTGAACTCAAACATGTCAAAATAAATTAGATTTGTCTCTTAGTACAAAGAAAGCAATAGAGCCAGATTGAATCCTAGTGAAATTTTATAGCATCTATTTACAAACACTTTTATATCCTAAATTGCCTGGCTTTTAAAATAATTAGAAGCTTTATTTGACACATACAACATTTACTTTTATTGTTACTTCTTGAACTCAACAATAAAAGTAGATTTTAAATTGTAATTGTTTCATCTATATTTATACGGTAAAAACTGGGTCTAACATTTAGACATTGCAAATTATGTTATTCTACTATAGTCATTATTCAGAAAATTAGTTAATATATACTCAGTTGAAAGATTTATTGTAATCTATATTTTCAAAAAACACTTAGAAATATTAAAAGGATATATATGGGCCAGGTGCGGTGGTTCACACCTGTAATCCTGCACTTTGAGAGGCCGAGATGGGTGGATCATGAGGTCAGGAGTTCAAGACCAGCCTGGCCAAGGTGGTGAAACCTCATCTCTACTAAAAATACAAAAAATTAGCCAGGTGTGGTGGTGGGCGCCTGTAATCCCAGCTACTCAGGAGGCTGAGGCAGAGAATTGCTTGAACGTGGGAGCCACAGGTTGCAGTGAGCCGAGATCGCGCCACTGCACTCCAGTCTGGGCGATAGAGCGAGACTCCGTCTAAACAAAACAAAAAGGATATGTATGAATTAGTTTATATCTTCATGAGGTTATATTGTAAGTATTGTGCATGCGAATTCCAAAGCAGTTAACTTTTTCGGTTTGCATTTAATCTGCAAATATTTACTTTAAACCATTTTGGAGTTATTTTGATCAGTTTTCTTCTTACAAAAGTGCAGTTATTTGTGATACATCCAATACATTGTAATATTATTCAGCAATAAAGTGAAATGAGATATCACAATACAAAAAGACATAGAGGAAACTTAAGCACATATTGATAAGGAAAGAGGCCAGTCCAAAAAAACTACATACTGTATGATTTCATCCATGTGACATTCTAGAAAAGTTAAACATATAGAGGCAGTAAAAAGATCATTGGTTACCAGGGGTTCAGGTGAAAAGTGAGATGAGTAGACGAAAAACAGAAACATTTTAGGTCAGTGTGAAGGAAGTTCACTAATAACTGATCCTAAGGGAAAACTCTCACCGTGTGGAAGATAGCACACAGTGTCACTATGTGAACCAGCCGGAATAGGAACTCAAATGCTTCCCTCCACTGCATTCTGGGCTGCAGTATTACCAGTGCCTGAACCTGGTGAGAGACATATTCACACACAAGTTATATGAAGTGGATTTATTAATAGTTACTCTAATAGATGTGAGGTGATATCTCATTGTAGATTTAACTTTTATTTTTCTGATCATTACTCATATTGAACATTTTTTTCACATATTTACTGGTCATTTGTATGTCTTCTTTTGGAACTATCTATTCTGCTCCTTGGTCCATTTTTAAATCAGGCTATTGGTGGAAGAGATATCTGCACTCCCATGATTATTGCAGCATTATTTATAATAGGATATGGAGTCAAACAAAATATCTATCAGTGAATGAATGGATAAAGAAAATGTGATATATATATATATATATATATATATATATATATATATATATATACAATGAAATATTACTCAGCCTTAAAAATGAAGGGAATTCTTTTATTTGGGACAATGTGAATGAACCTAGACTTTAGTATTCTATTTTGTCTCAAATACGTTCATTTGTCTCAAATCTGGAGGACATTATGTTAACTAAAATGCATCAGGCACAGAGAAAAAAACTGCATGTTCTAATAGTGATCTAATAAAGCTAATATATATGGAATCTAAAACAGCTGAACTCATGAAAGTAGAGCGTAAAAAAATGGTTACATGGGGCTGGGTAGGAAGGGAAGGATTGGGGAGATATTTGTCAAAAGATACAAAATTTCTGTTAGAAGAATAAATTGAAGAGATTTCTTTTACAACATGGTGACCATAGTTGACAACAATGTACAATATTGTACATTGCTAAGGGAATAGATTTTACATGTTCTCACCACTAATAAACTTGTGAGGTAGTCAAATGGTAGTTTAATTTAGCCATTCTACAGTGTATACGTATTTCAAAACATCATGTTGTACACCATAAGTATATAAAATTTCTATTTGCCAATTAAAAAATAAATAAGAATACAAAAAATTCTGAGACCATTGAACTTTTCTGGGAGGAAGTATAAATATACTGAAATGCATAGGCATTGTGCCAGTATTTTTATCTTAATTTATTTCTCAATAACATTTTTATTAAAAACAAAAATATTATTAATTTTGAAAATACACAGCTGTTTTACATGTAAAATTTAGAAGGTAAGGATAATGCAAATAGTAACAATGAGGAAATATATTTATAAAACAAATATTATTTCGGATTCTATTTCAGTTTTAGTTGAGGTGATTTTGGAATTTTAGTCAAAGCCTGTAGATTTTGTTTAAAACGGCCAAGAAAGTTAGAAGCATTGCCGTTGTGGAGTAAATAGGAACCAACACTGCCATCATGGATATGCAAGGACATCAAACCCAATTCAGGTCAAGCCTTGTGAAAGGGCCTTTGAGGAAGCCCTTACTGAAGGCCATTATGAAAACATGAAACCACTAGCCTCTCCCATGTTCCAGTTCATATCTGCTAAATAACCATTTCCTTTAGCATCCTCTTAGCCATCTTTGGAAAATGGCCATCTAGTTGGTATCTATCTCAAGCTACATCAGTAAGCTGTATAGTTCCATTACTGAAGCTGTTTCAAGTGTTTCTTTTAAGAGTGCAGTTTGTCAGTTGTATTGGCAGTAAATTTAGCTTTGAAAGATAGTATTCTTCCATTTCAGACACTCACAATTATTTGTTATAAATCAGGTGCGAAAAGCTTAAATTGGAAGAGAGCTAGTGATGCATTTTTTTCATAAATGGATGAATTGAAGATTTATGAATTTAATAGAGAAAATATTTTTTTAGAAAACCTTCTGAGAAATGTTTCATTTGGCCATAATTCATTGCTTCTGAAATTGAGCAATAGATTTTGATTATACTCAACAGAAAGAAGAGTGAATGATAACTCACATTATATCAGGTTCAGAATGGTAGAACTAGAAAAGACATTAGAGATAGTTAATCTGCTTTAAAAATCGTAAACTGACAGCCCATAGATCAAATGTAGTCATTGATGCTTTAAAAAAATAAATTCCCATTGATCGTTCATAAACATATACAAAATTTTCAATTTCCTTTATTGATTTACAAATCACACCAGACTTGAATTATTGTACAGTAGTTACATACTCTCTCATTCCTAACTTCCATTCCTCTCCCTATTAATTTATATTCAGCCCATTTTATTCAATTTGGTTATGTTCCTACCTTCTCTGTCCATCTGGCTTAATGAATCCTGATTTATACCAACTCCATCATTTGTATTCAAGACATATGTGACTCCAAAGAGAGTATGCAATTTGCCTCCATCATGTAACTGGTACTTTCCACAACCTAAAACAATAATAAAATAATATTATTTTTATTAATATTGTACATTGTAATCCTGCCAAAAAATAGAAAATAATTGATATTTTTAATCTAATGCTCATTATCATGGAGGTTCATTTAATTCTTTTTGGGAGAAGATTGTATTTGTATAGTGTTTTAGTTCTGATAGAAACAAGTGTACTGGAACAATTAAGACAAAGGTTAATGAGGAGAAATTTTGTCTAGAAGTAAATCTGTTGTAAACATTTACTAACAAATAGAATTTTAAATGCTTTTAGTGGTATGCATAGGATTTAAATGTCTTCTTAAATTATGCCAATTACTTTTTTTAGTATTATTTCTATCCTAATTGTGCAGTTAAGGTTAGCAAAAATGTACACGTGCATTTTTTAATATTTGAAAGAAGACATAGCATTTTTCTTTTCTGTTTTGTTTTTTTTGTTTGTTTGTTTGTTTTTGTTTTTTTGAGATTTAAACTCGCTCTGTTGCCCAGACTGTAGTGCAGTGGCGTGATCTTGGCTCATTGCAACCTCCGCCTCCCAGGTTCAAGCAATTCTCATGTCTCATCCTCCCGAGTAGCTGGGACTATAGGAGCACACCACCACAACCGGCTAATTTTTATATTTTTAGTAGAGATATTGGTGAGGCTGGTCTTGAACTCCTGACCTCAGGGGATTCACCCGGCTCAGCCTCCAAAAGTGCTGGGATTACAGGAGTGAGCCACCGCGCCCGGCCCGACATAGCATTTTTCTCATGTTAAAGCTAAAGGTGCATAAGTTGCAGACGTCTTGTTTCCATACTGTATAAGGAATAGCAAACAGATGAATTATGGAAAGTATAAAATTTAGCTTCTATCTTGTGCAGTAACAAGATAGACAAGTAAACAATTTAAGTAATGTCTACTTCCACAAATAGGAATTCAGTTTTTGAAAATTATCCCCTAATATGACTGACATATTTTCTTGTATTAAACTTTTGATAAGTAGTATGTATCTTGATCTGTCATAAATTAACAATCCATTGTTCAAATATTAGTTTTGTGTTGTGGCATAATAATATTACCATGAACTTAATGGGTTAAAACAACACATATATCATTTTGAATTTCCTATAGGTCAGGAATCCAGGCATGGGTTAGCTGTGTCCTCTCCTTTTTGGACTTACATAATCTTTTAATCAAGGTGTCATCCAGGGCTACGGTCTCATCTGAGGCTCAACTGCAGAAAGATCCACTTCCAAGTACATGTGGTTGTTGGCAGAAATCAGTTTCTTGTGGGATGTTGGACTAAGGGCCTCGATTCCTTGCTGGCTGTTAGTCAGCCATCACCTTGAGTTTCTTGCCACGAGGACTGCTCCATATGGCAGCTTACTTCATCAAATCCAGTGAGGGATATACCCAAAAAGTTGGCTAGCGAGAATCTAGTCAAGTCATAATCTTATGTAGTATGTCCATTGAATTTACATGAGACGTATACATCACATGAACACTGAGCAAAGGATAAAATGCCCCCATTGACCAGAGTTGGTTAATGTGCTTATGCATGTACCATGGGGATTGGCAAAGCCTTACCCAAAGCACTTGTACAGAGAAGGAAAGAGGCAAGATTATTGAAAACAATATTTGGATGTTATCAAAAGAAAGCAAAAAGAAAATGCAGGACAGTAAAATAAGTAAGTAAATAAACTAGTAAATTAAATATCTACTTTACACACTTCATTTTAAAATGATACAGATTGGTTCTTATTCTTCAGCAAGAAGCAGTTATTGCTCATGCAATGAATATATGGACCACCATTAGGTGCTAGAGTATCTGTGAGAAAGACTGCTTTACATTTAGATAACCTAGTCAATTAAGTGTATGGACAGCAGTACCAAAAACAAAGCAATTTGGACCAGATATTTATAAAGCCTATACTTCAGACTAAATTTGTATTTCAGGATTTTTTGTAAAAGGTTTCAATGAAAGCACAATGTAATTGCATAATGTAGCTTGGAAGAACTACCGTGTACATTCTTCTATTAAGTTCAAAACTCTGTCATAAATATGGATAAAAAAATAAAAATAAATACCACCACACACCTATTAGAATGTCTGAAATCCAGACTATTGACAGCACCAAAAGCTGGTTAGAATATGGGGCAACAGCAACTCTCATTTATTGTTGGTGAGAATACAAAATGGTACAGTCAGTTTGGAAGACAGTTTGGCAGTTGCTTAAAAGACTAAACAGTCTTACTATAAAATCCAGTAATCATGCTAATTAGTATTTACCCAGAAGAGTTGAAATCTTAGAGTCACAAAAACCTACACACAGATGTTTATAGTGGCTTTAGTCATAATTGCCAAAACTTGGAAGCAACCAAGATGTTTTTTATTTATGGAAATAAACTGTGGGTACATTCAGACCGCGAAATATTATGTAGTGCTAAAAATGAAATAAGCAATCAAGCCATAGATGTTGAGGAGCATTAAATGCATATTACTAAGTGAAAGAAGGCAATCTGAAAAGGTTACATACTGTGTGATTCCAGCTATACAACATTCTGGAAAAGGCAAAACCATAGAGACACTACAAAGATCAGTGGTTGCCAGAGGTTGAGTTGAGGGGAGGGATGAATATACAGGGCACAGAGGATTTTCAGAACAGTGAGAATACCCTATATGATACTACATGAAAGCGGATACATGCCATTACACATTTGTCCAAACTCATAAAATGTACAACAACAATATGCACCCTCATGTAAATGATGGACTTTCAGTGATAATGGGTCAATGTAGGTTCATCATTTATCACAAAGGTAGCAGTTGGGTGGGGGATTTGATCATGGAGGAGGCCATGAATGTGTGAGGGCAGAGGGTATATCAGAAATCTCTTATCTTTCTCTCAATTTTTCTGTGAACGTAAAGTTACATCAAAAATTATATTTAAAAATAAATACATCATCTTCTCTAAACCTGCAGACCTCCTCCAGTAAGTGAACTTGCCACCAAAGGGACCATGGTTGGTGTAATTTCTGCTGCTGCCATTAATCAAAGTATTGTGTACTCCATTGTTTCAGGAAATGAAGAAGGTGAGTAGACTTTTAGTTTGTGTTCTCACCATCAACCAGTAAACTTAGATTTGGCCTAATTTCAGATTGAATTGAAATTATTATCTATTCTATTGTTTTCTAATAAAATTGTGCCCATCTTAAATGTAATTGTTAACCATGTATCCTGAACTCGATTAAAAATCCAGTGATGTTAGCTAAAGTGATTTTTTCCCTTAAGAAATATTAAGTACCTTAAGAAATATTAAGTATCTAATTAATGAAACCTTGCCCTTTTCCTCATTTGGTAATATTTTAATGACATTTCCTCAAAATTAATGCATCATGAAATTTTCAGCTTTTGGCCATGATCATTGCCTACAGTAGCTTCGTCCGCCCCAGTGTCTGAACCATCCATGACCCTTACTCCATGTTGGTCATACCTTAACTAATCCTGAAGGAACTTCAAGGTTGTAAATAAGTTGTGAATTTTAAAAAGAGTCACATCCATGTTAAAAGCTATGCATGTTATATGATTCCCAAAATAGTCAAATTAGACATACAATTCATGATTAAAAATAAAAATATAAGTTTTTGTAATTTAAGAATCATAGGAATTTGCAGGCCTCTGGGAATAAGGTCATAGCTCAATCTTTCGCATTAATTTTTGTTTTACCTGTTCTCCACAAGTTCTCCTCTGTTTTCCCTTTTGGTATGTTAGATAGCCTAGTATATTGTAGGTAGTCAGGAAATAGTTAATATACATGTAATAAGTTAATCAATAGTAAATATTAAAGAAATGAGTGAATGTAAAAGAGTTTGCAAGGAAATTATAAAGGCCCTGTTAAGCTTTTTAATGACAAACTATTACTAGGTATTGCTGCCCGTGTAGTGTAGCAAGTGGTCAATATCTTACTTTTATTGCCTTTCTTTCTACATTATTACTGTGCTACTATGTGTCCTCCCTAAAAATAACTAAATTTCCTTTTTCCTTGGACTTCGAACATCTGACTAAAGCTATGATTTCTCAACCTGTTCCGTCCCGAAACTTTCTCTTTTGATTCTATTTGTCCTTTTCTTTGAAGACAGCAGAGTGGCTATATTTATTAACGTCTGTCCCCCACAGTGACTGTTGTACATTTATTTATTTATTCAACAAATATGTACTGAGCATCTATTATGTATTAACTACTCTTCTAGCCACTACAGATAGAACAATGTACAAAATAGATTCCTGCCCTCATGGAAGTTAATGGTCCAGTAAGCGGAGATTAATAATAAAAATTATTAAACAAAGAAATATATAGTATTATAAGGGATTATTAATTACATGAAAAAATAAAGTAAGGAGAGAATATGGAGAGCATAAGAGGGGGAGATATTATAAAGTTTACCAAAGTGCCCTGATTTTCATTCAAATTTATTTAAATAAACAGACACAGGGCAACATTAAATTATCCATTTTTTTATTTTCTCTCAAGTGTTCTTAGCAAAACACTAAATCTACAAAATAATAATATTCATAAATTACAAAGAGTATAATAATCCAGTAAGTTCAGAAAATTTTGGTTAAACAAAATTAGATGGTTTTCTTTGAAACAACTTCTGAAAGCCTTTAGTGTGACAGAAGACCATCTGAATCTAAGGTAAAGAATATATTATTCAGTGTTTCCCAAATGTAATTGACCATAGAACTTTGTTTTCCAGGATTATCTCAAAACAACAAAAACAAAAAAACCCTACAATTTCAAGGCAGACTTTAGCGAAGTATTGATGTTGATCATTCAAAGAGCTGGAACAGTTTCCAAAAGCCAGCATTTTGTCACTTTCATGCATCACTCTAGTTATAAATAGGCATTTTTAGTGTTTTTGAAATCACAGTGCCTTTTAAAGAGAATTTCTTTCCTTATAGCGTAAAGACAATGACCAGGTAATTGTATTTTAATTTCTAGATACATTTGGAATTAATAACATCACAGGTGTTATCTATGTGAATGGACCTCTGGATTATGAGACCAGGACAAGCTATGTACTTCGAGTCCAAGCTGATTCCCTGGAAGTGGTCCTTGCCAATCTCCGAGTTCCTTCAAAAAGTAAGTTATACTACTTAAAGCTTTTACCAGAATTGTATGGTGTCTCTGCTAATTTTTTAAATGAAATACCTATGTCTAAAATATCATTCTCAGTGGACAACATAGAAAGATCATTAATACTCTGAGATGATTGCCTATTCGTTTAAACAGCTAATATATGACAAGGCAGGGAGTGATTTCATACTCCTGAAATGTCGAGATAATAAAACACCGTTTTCAAATTGTGTATCCAATATTGTTAAAATACCACCATTGTCTGTGTATGTTAAATAATAAAACTTAGTCCCACTGTGAAGCTCTGGATAAACCTTGGGAAATAGATATTTTTAATGAATGACTTCTAGAAATTGCCTGAATTGTGTGGCTTCTTGTATTTACATATTTTCTTCGAGAAAAGAAAAAATCATCTTAAAATTAGCGACTAACATTTATTGTAATTTATATGTAGCATCATTTTTCATTTTTAATTTACACTTTTTAACCTACACTTTTAATCTATGAAATGAGAATTACTACCCTGTTTTACAAAGGCAAGATTTTGTTAATAATTAAAAAGGTTATTTTTTTAAATGACAGTAAACAAAGCGTCACAGATTTAAGCCCACGTTCTGTGACTCCGAACTTCAACATTTCTGTGGCATATAGTTTACCCCCACAGAGAAGCATATAAAAGCCAATTTGTGAAGGGAACTGACACAGATTTAAAGATGTTATCAATAATGCAATAAATGCTATTCTTTTCCCATCTATTGAGGTAATACTCTTTTGCATTTAAGCAATCATCTTTTTGTAATCAGAGCAACCCTTTTAAAATCTAGAAGACTCAAGATAATCCAGTTTAAGTTAACTATTAATAGAATAGAGGCCCAGACAGAGTGTGAAATGAGAAACAGGATCTGAAACATTCACCCAGGGACTATCCCTGGACATCATTTCAAGGCATTTCAGCAAGCGAGCGTTCTTAGAAGGGAGAAGAGGGAAAAAGAAGAGGGCAGAGGCATAAAGCAAGAACCCAGGCAGTGTGAGAGAAAAGAAAGCAAGACAGGAGCAACAGGCAGAAGATGCAGGACAGAATTTTCTGTATCAGTTTGGCAGTTGATCATAAAAAGAAATCACTCCTTTTCATTTATCGTGAACCTCATTTACTGATTCAGTGTAGAGAGCTGCTCAGTTCCTTGTAGAGATACAACCAAATCATTTGAAAAATCAGATTATACAGGTGTCTTTGAAATTAAAGGAATTGAATTGTCCTCAATAATTATGCATCACTCACATAATTAAATTGTTTAAAAATAGCAGATGAATTCTTTGAGTTTCTAAAATCTTTAAACTACAGGCAATTATGTTTTTAAAAATATAGAGGATGCTTCCAATTGTAAACTGAATTGGATAAATGAGGAGTGGAAAGGTTGGAGTAACTCTAAATTATATAATGTAACCTATTTTATTGCAAATGCAAAAATGAGGAAGATTAATTGAAAAGTGTACCTGCACTCTTTCCTTGAAACAAATGAACAGTTTAAGAAAGAAAAATTTTAGGTTGTAGAACTTTCTCAAGTGATACCTGTGATTTTTATGAATAGAGGTGCATTAAGTTCTTATATGTGAATACAACTAGCTCCCATTACTTTAATTTACATGTAAATCTGAGGCTAATAAAAGTTTCTCTAATGCACATGTGTATACTTCCATGTGCCCCAGTATGCATGTAGAGGTGAAACCAATTCCTGAATTATCCTGTCAGAAATGCATGAAGTCTAAAAGCTAAAATATTTACTGCCTGATTCTTTGAATATTGTTATTAACCTTTTATGATTGACCTTTGCCTCCTAAGTTTGAAATAAAAACCCATATATTTCTAATTCAATCTCATTAATTAATAACTGTTAATGGCCTATAGTCAATCCCCAGCCCATTAGTTATGCAAATACAACCATTATGTAAATTGAGGTTAATTAGTTAGCTAAATATTCATCTCTGCAGCAGAATTAGTTGCCCTACCACATATCATTTGAATAAGGATAATAAAAATCAGAAGTGTAATTCATTAAAGAAGTATTTTATTGTGACTTCTTTACCAAAAATTTGTTAATGAAATTATTTTCAAAGTAAATTGTGCAACCATGATGTGATTAGATTTAATATTTAAATGCAAATTAATTAAAATGTAAAATTTTAGAGCTAATTTCATAAGTTTAACACTAGGAATATTTAAATATTTTAACATTTTACTTGGAACATTTCAAACATACAAAAATTACAGAGAATATTACGGTGAACCTCCATGTATCAACTCCCTAATTCAACATAATCACGCCCTGGGAAATAGTTGTTCCTCTATGCTCTCAACTACCCACTATTGCATTATTTTGAAGCAGGTCAGAGTCATAACATTCAATCTGTAAATATTTTGATATGTATATCTTAAGGACTCTTAAAACAATTAAAATATCATGATTACTGCTGCCAAAAGTAACAAATTATTTGATATCAATATATATCCAGTTGGTATTAAACATAGTTCATATTAAACATATCCAGTTCACATTGAACATTTATTTACATCAGAATCAAAATAAGGTCTATACATTGCCATTGGTTGATAGGTCTGTTAAGTCTCTTTTAATCTGTAGGCTTCACCACTACGCTCTTTTATTCACCTTGATATTTATTTGTGCAAGAAACCACATTTCTGAAGCCTGGATTGATGACTGTCTCTCCAAGTGGTCATTTCATATTCTTTCTGCTTCCTTAATTTCCAGGAAATAAGTAGTTAGATCTGGAGGCTTGATCATATCCAGGTTATTTTTGGTTTGTTTTTAAACAAATAAATCATAGGTGATATTCACTCCTTCCTTAAACATTAAATCTCTTTGATTCTCTTTTTGTGATATAGATAGTAGCAACCACCAATAGTAATTTTCTAAATCCATTATTTTTTTATTTTTATTACTTCTATATTCATTAGCCAAAATATTTTTATAAAGAAAAACGTCTCCATAGCAAATACTCAGTAACCCTGAGGTCCACCAACTATAGGAAAAACAAGAAAAAAAAACTTTATTCTTTCCTTTTATTATTGATTTTCAAAATAATGAGTTGATTCACTATCATACTCAAAATGGGAATACTGAGATGACAAATATGTTTAGTTTTCTGGGTCATATGGTCTCTGTCGGAACTACTCTACTCTGCTGTAGCTTAAAAGCAAGAAGAGATAATACGTAAACCAAAGGGTTTGGCTATGCTCCCATAAAATTCATTTTACTAAAACAGGCTGTCTGTGGGCTGGATTTGACCAAAGGGCTGTAGTTTGCCCACATTTGTTCTACGACTTACTTTTACATTACATGGTACACTTTTTTTTTGCACTGCTCATATGTTTCCTGTTGTGAGCAATGCTTCTGCTTCATCTCTTATATTTTCCCACACATCTAATTGAAAGTGATATTGTTTTATCCCTCTTAATAACACAATTCAGTCATTTTGTTATCAGTAACCCATTCCCAAGTAAAGTCCTTGATGCAGGATTATAGAGACACTATTTCCTATGTTTTGGTGCATTAAGAAAAGCTTATCTTAGGGCTTTAACATTGAAGACCAATTTGACTGGATAACTTGACTCATTTTCTTTTTTTAAATTAAATTTTTCATTCCATTTTCTTATTCTTTGAAGCATTACTGTAAAAAAATGTGTAATGACAAACTGGTCTTATTTCTGAATTTCCAAATAATTGCCTTTATTTTTTCTTTAGAGTTCAGTATTTTTGTCAATGTATTTCTACATGTTGGCAATTCTGGGTCATTTTCTATATATGTAGTATAACTGTTCAAGTCTCATTTAGGGATTTTTTTTTTAATTCTAGACTTTTTTTTTTTTATTAATGTGGCATCTATTCTGGTGTTACTGGCCACAAGTTCTTATGCTCTTGTGCAATAGAAACTGACAGAAGGCTAAGAAAATTTCCCAGACTCCAGGCGTTATTGGAACTTATGCTGGAGCACAAGGAAAGCAGCCCGGAAAAGAGAAAGTGCTCTTGCTGCCTCCCTGGAGATAGCCAAGAGAGTAATTTTAACAGGCCTAGCCATGAAAGGAGTGACATTAAAGCATGTAGAAATGGGAATTTATAGCATTTGCACAGTTTGATGACTTGCTTCTTCATGTGTCACACGTCTCATTAACATGTTACATCTCCGTGTGATTTTTTTTTTTTTTTGAGACAGAGTCTCACTCTGTTGCCCAAGCTGGAGTGCAGTGGCGTGATCTGGGCTCACTGCAAGCACCGCCTCCTGGGTTCACACCATTCTCCTGCCTCAGCCTCCTGAGTAGCTGGGACTACAGGCGCCTGCCACCACAGTCATTTTTTTAGCCTTCTGTGCATGTGGGTATTGGGGGCCAACTTCCTTGAGTAAGATGTATGGTAGAATGTCCCTCATCTTAGTTTCTCTAGGTAACTTATAGCTTGCACAGTCTTGTGGTCAGTGGGGATGGCATGAGTGAGGTGATGCTGCCATCACCTTACAGTGGTGCAAGGTCTGGTGACTAGTGTGACTGCATGAAATAATGCTCTAGTAGAGGTGATCTGAACCCAAAGTTCTATCCCTCCTCTGTCTCACTGGGAGATTCCTAGTATACAAGTGTTGAATCTTCTCTTATCTTTTCATCATTTTCTCGCTCATCTCTTTGTATTAGAGCACATTACTGTAAAGAATTTTTGCAACCTACTCATCTGACAAAGGGCTAATATCCAGAATCTACAATGAACTCAAACAAATTTACAAGAAAAAACAAACAACCCCATCAAAAAGTGGGCGAAGGACATGAACAGACACTTCTCAAAAGAAGATATTTATGCAGCCAAAAAACACATGAAAAAATGCTCATCATCACTGGCCATCAGAGAAATGCAAATCAAAACCACAATGAGATACCATCTCACACCAGTTAGAATGGCAATCATTAAAAAGTCAGGAAACAACAGGTGCTGGAGAGGATGTGGAGAAATAGGAACACTTTTACACTGTTGGTGGGACTGTAAGCTAGTTCAACCACTGTGGAAGTCAGTGTGGCGATTCCTCAGGGATCTAGAACTAGAAATACCATTTGACCCAGCCATCCCATTACTGGGTATATACCCAAAGGATTATAAATCATGCTGCTATAAAGACACATGCACACATATGTTTATTGTGGCATTATTCACAATAGCAAAGACTTGGAACCAACCTAAATGTCCAACAACGATAGTCTGGATTAAGAAAATGTGGCACATATACACCATGGAATACTATACAGCCATAAAAAAGGATGAGTTCATGTCCTTTATAGGGACATGGATGAAACTGGAAACCATCATTCTCAGCAAACTATCACAAGGACAAAAAACCAAACACCACATGTTCTCACTCATAGGTGGGAATTGAACAATGAGAACACATGGACACAGAAGGGGAACATCACACACGGGGGACTGTTGTGGGGTGGGGGAAGGGGGGAGGGATAGCATTAGGAGATATACCTAATGCTAATTGAAGAGTTAATGGGTGCAGCACACCAACATGGCACATGTATACATGTGTAACAAACCTACACGTTGTGCACATATACCCTAAAACTTAAAGTATAATAATAATAAAATTTAAAAAAAAAAGAAATACCTGAGACTGGGTAATTTCTAAAGAAAAGAGGTTTAATTGGCTCATGGTTCTGTAATCTCTTCAGGAAGCATGGTGCTGGCATCTGCTCTGGTTCTATGGAGACCTCCGGAAGCTTATAATCGTGGTGGAAGTCAAAGGGAGAGCAGGCACATCCCATGGCAAAAGCAGTAGCAAGGGAGAGAGAGAGTGGTGGGGGAAGGTGCCACACAATTTTCAACAACCAGATCTTGTGAGAACTCACTATGGCAAAGACAACACCAAGCCATGAGGGATCTGTCTCCATGAGACTGATCTCCCATGTCCTCAGCTGCAGCACCCGATTGGATTAAAACCTTCTTCCCTAGCAATACTCATTGTCTCAGTGATTGCCCATCTGTGTGGCAAGCAGCAGAACCTAGACCAAAACCATCATGTTCCAGTAACAGAGTTTAACACTCTGAACACCATTACTCTCGAGGAGAATTGAAAATGGTCACGCGAATTAAAATTTAGAAGTGACTTTGTATGAGTATTCCTTTATAGGGGAGGGTTGTTGTAAAGTTGTACTTGAATTCACTTCAACAGTATACTTTTCCCCAAAATACAATGGCTGGGGAAATATATGCTTTCCCTTCTCAAGTTTAACATTGGCAACTACAGTAAAAAACGCTGCCCTTATGTTGGCCTAGCACAGCAAATCCATGTTTGAGACATATCAGATAAATGTAGACAGAAAAAGAGCAACAAGCAATTACAATGACTGGAGTATTACATTATATTACAGCTACATCTAGAAAGGTCTGTGCTTCTATAAGTATGCAGGCAAAGAGCCTGTGACTGTTCTTTGCCTGCATAATTATACCCAAACCAACCCAAAGGACCAGATTTGGGACACAGGTGAATGCCAGTTTTCTTAAATCCTGTTCGGTAGGATTACCTGAAGGAGTGATGATACTGCAAAAGGCAAAAACTGGACATAGACCGCAGAATTCCTATAAAATGACAAACTGGAATTAACTGAAGTATGCTGGCAAACTGAAGTTGCTGAAGAAAAGCATACCAGTGCTGAAGATGCTCTCATTGACCATGTCTGTTTTAAACCCAGGTCTGACCCAAAGAGTATTCAGCCATTTCACAACAGTAATATTGAAGTAGGAACTTCGCTACCTACCTTACATGCCTTTTCTCCATAATCTCCAAGGTCAGGTAATAGAAGTCTGAGTGATAAAAATCAACTGCTAGTGAATGAAGGAGGTGGTGGTAGTTAATAAAGAAAAAAGTAAAAAGAAATCTCTTACAGCCTCTTCCCCAAAGGCAGAGGAACTTCCATTAACATATCTAAGCTGGGGAAGGACATTTTACCTTTAAATGAAATTTGGAGTATTAGATTCATATATTGAACTAGAGAATCATTTTTAAATTCTTTTTAAAGTTACCTTTACCATAGTACTATTAACAATTTTTTTAAAAATTATAAAATTTCTTGAGCTTTTATTCAACAGCAGGAAAGATATTAGCCCATATTAGCAGGATTAAAGAGATAGTATGAAAGAAAATAATAGAGTTTTATAATTCTATATTTTCATATTAAGAATATTGTTTCAGTGAGACTGTAGAACAGAATTTAGTGGATATTGTTAAAATGGATTTAGTCTGCGCAACGACAGAAGTTTGTATCTGTTTTGTTTATTGATGTATCCCAATAGCCTAAAATGCATGGCACATAAATACCCCCAATAAAGATTTGTCCAATGCATGAGTGAGTCTGGAAAATTAAGGCCAGATTGTGAAGCGTTTTAAATATCAAGCTAACAGTATGCAAATTTGTAGCATACATACCACTCATACAATCCACCTGATGGCTGACTGCTAACTAAGCTCCAGTTCTGCCCACTCCCACCTCACCACCCCTGATTTGCAGCCTTTTCATAACAGTGGTTTAGTCATTATTACAGATGGAGACAGTACACTGTTTTAATCATGGGAATGTGCTTAGGAGCTTCCTCCCAGTACTTGAAATTGCAGGGAATCTGAAAAGCTTTGGAGTTTTCTCTCTCTTCAATTCAGTTAGAAATTAGGTGTTGATTTTTCATTCTTCCTGCACTCAAACTTTCTGGCCCTCTAGACTCCCTACATTTTATCTCTTCTTCCTGTCTCATTCTGTTAAGCATCCGTATTTTCTTCCTTTACTCCCATATTGACC